>NT_113901.1:0-182896 GCF_000001405.40 Homo sapiens
GAATTCCTCGTTCACACAGTTTCTTAAGCTTCCTGGGATGCGACCTGTGATGGCTCGGCGGAGCTCGGTGGCAGCTGTCTCCCTCATCTCCAGTGACACCTGCTGGCTGTAGCAGGCAGTGAGAGGAGTGCAGATGAGATTGGGGGCATCTTTCAACGGACCCTGAGCAAAGCTAAAGGGCTGCGACTCGTTCACGTCGACGACTGCCCTTCGTATCCTGCCTTCCTTGAGGGCCTGTGCTAAGGCTCTCTCGTCCACCAGGCCACCACGGGCTGCGTTCACAAGGAATGCTCCCTGCCTCATCTGCTTTATGGTAAAGTCATTGATGAGGTGGTGCTTAAGTTCGTTGAGACTGCAGTGCAAGGAGATGCAGTCGCTCTGATACAGCCAATCCTGCAGGGTGTAGACCCTCTGCATGCCCAGGGACTGCTCGATCCCATCCTGCAAGTAGGGGTAATAAAACATGACGCTGAATCCAAAGGCTGTGGCTGGAACTGCAAAAGCCTGCTGCGTGCGACCCTAGCCGATGAGGCCCAGCGTCTTCCCACGAATGCGGGCCACTCCCGAGGCCACCTCGCAGATCTGCTCCATGCTCTGAACCCGCTTGCCTTCCCACAGTGCCTGGTACAGCCATGTGTTCCTCCGGTACATGTTGAGAATGTGGCAGTTGGTGGAATTGGCTGTCTCTTCCACGGCTGCGGACGGGATGTTTCACACAGCAATTCCGAGCTCGCTGGCAGCCTTGATGTCCACGTTGTCATAGCCACTGCCCACCCCCACGATCACTCTCAAGGACTTGAAATTTGCCAGAACCTCCCTGGTGAGGTGATTGTGTGGTGCATCATGGGGCCCACGGCTCTGTTTAGAACTTTCTCGTGGATTTCCTGCGTGGACTGCATCATAGAAGGCCACGGTGGCCTTCAGGATGGGCATGTCCACAGTGCAGTCACGGCCGACCAGGAACGCTGCCAGTGAGCGGGGGCTTAGGGGGTCTTTCGTGATCTGGCGGCGAATTCCTTCACAAATTCTGTCCAATCGCTGTCTCTTGACTTAGCGCTTATCCACAGGGCCATTCTTTACGGAACTTTGCAACTCTCAGATCAAAAGGTAAAGCAGTCCTCTAAGAACTTAGGGGAACTCGCAGGAGTCTGTGTGCATGATGCCACTATGAACCCAATATAAATTTGTTCACAAACTCTATAGTTCACACGATGGGCTGTCCGTCTCTTTAAGGGAATATAGCTTCATTGGTTCAAAACCATTTAAGGTGATGAAACCCATTTGGTTGCAACTCAGCCACCATCGCGCAGTCAATCAACGAATCTCACCACGACCCCAGGTCTGGAGCTCCTGGAGTCCGCGACCGCTGGGGGTGGAGGCGGCTTCGGCCTGGTGCAGCCAGGTCC
Source organism: Homo sapiens (assembly GCF_000001405.40). Taxonomy (NCBI): domain Eukaryota; kingdom Metazoa; phylum Chordata; class Mammalia; order Primates; family Hominidae; genus Homo; species Homo sapiens. The sequence goes on from NT_113901.1 coordinate 1,407, forward strand.
TTGCTCCTGCTCTGAGCCTCGGGCGTGGGTTGGGGGTCCACCCGGGTGTCCCGCATGGTGTCTAAGCTCCTCCCTTGCCGGAGCCCTGCGGACTGGAGGAGTGTTCATATCATTAAGGAGCTTTGATAATTATTTTGATTTTCAAAATTATATAATGCAAAAACAACAACAACAAAGAATAAACCTACAAATTTTGACCTTTAAAAGTCAACAAAGATTTTTAAAGATCAATATTTGTAGGTTTATTTTATTTCTTCAATTGGGACATGTTTTCGTCCTTTTCTGTATGCCCTGCAATCTTTTGATGAGATTCAGAAATTTATAAAACAACTGTGTAATGTAGTATGTACAAACTTGCTTACTACAAGATAATACAACAATCAGTGAGGCTGTACATCCTGGTTCTTCATTAACAGTGTCTTCAATGTGTCTTCTCTGGGCTTGTGTGTGGATTTTTAAGGTAAAGATATTTTTTCCCATTGTTTTCCAGACACTGTGGTCCTTTGCTTCCGCAGTTGATTGTAGTGTTTGTTTCTCTGAGGCTGTGGTAAGCATGTAACTTCTCTTCTCAGCAGTCATAAGTTATCATTCTCATTACTCTGCCATTTCCTTTAGCATTCCCTGTTTGGGGAGACAGAATCTAGTCATCAGCGGTAGCCCACAAAGCCAAACCTTTGAACATATGTTCCACTGTTCTCATTCTATACTGAGGGATATACTAAAAGTTGGACGTTTTCTCTTGAGCCCAATTGCTGTTCTGGGAAAGAAGAAGGGATGTGGTGAATATAAGCCAGACCTGGTTGCCTCGTACAGCAAGCTTTTCCAACCCGCCTTGTTTTGTTTTTGTTATGGCTCTGTTTTGTTTTAGGTTTTTAGCAGCCTGCAGCAATGGTTTTTGGGTTCTGTGTCTAGTGATAAGTGGAAAAGGGGGATGAGGAAAGGGCCTTACTGGCTCAACCAGAAACAGAAACTAAGAACTCATGGCTGTAGTCTCCCGTGGATGCCCCTGTCCTACAGTAAAGGAAATGTCTTTGGAATGTAAAAAGAGAGAGAATAATAGGCAACACCCCAATAGGGAAGAATAAACAAATAACAAAGATGAGAGGTGCAAAGGCCAAGGAGAAAACCTTAAAAATGTGGTGTTGGAAGTTCTGCTTCAAAGAAATTGGTTCTGGAAAATTCTAAATTTACTTCTTTTGCTGCCACAGGTGGAAATTTCCTACCCTATGCTTATTATGCTCTTAAATCTTCTAAGGCTTCTCTGTTCATCCACTAACATTCCAGGGCATTCACAGTGACAGCCAAAGTTCACCTCTTCTTTCTGCTATTCCCATGAAGCTCTTGTGGTCTGAGTGCTTTTCCATTGTTTTTGGGATCTGAGGAAATCTGCACATTTTGTGAGACTTCTATGTTAAGCTGTTTTGTAAAAATCTGTGCCTCATGTCAGAAGTTTGTGAGAGCAAAAGTGCAGGCATTGGGGTTTGGTTCACATATTTCAGAAACACCAAGGACAAATGTTTCCTCCTCATAATTTTCAGTCCTATTATTTCAAATGTGTTCCTGCAAAAAAATCAGAAAAAAAATTTATCAGAGCCCAAAGCACCTCAGCAGATATGATAAAGTTGAATCTTCTATTTCACTTTATTCTTTTTTTCATCTCTGGTAATGTAGGTCAAAAAGTTTTCTTTCCCTTAGTAGAAACTAACTTAGAAATGTGAACTCTCTATGCCAAACATATCACCTATGGAATAGTTTATTGTATCTACTCATCTCAAAGAATTTTTAAGGACCTTAATCCATAGAAAAACTTAGAAACATGCCAGGAATAGAACAAATTCTTAACTGTTACATTATTTCTTAATGAGTTATTTTATTAATTAATCTTATATAAAGCTTAGTGGGACTGTGATCTGTATGTTTTCCCTGTCCTGTTTTTACGTATGTCAAATTAGCCTATAACTTTAGCTTCAGGGGTTTCAGAAAACATACTTGAATTTATGTGTTATATAAAAAGTGAATTGGATGATATGCACATCACATTAAGAAAAGTTTTAGTTTGTGTCTAAGTTCACTGCATAGAAAAACTTATCATTAGTGTTTCCATTTACTTTCCTCAACATTTATCTGAATGATAGTATAATTTATTTCTAATTGCTTATTATATTGTAGTTTTCCACAGCATATTTTACAATATTCATGTTGTTCCCATATGTAAAAATGTAAGGCTTTTCTTTGTTTTAAAAATAATAAATTATAGGCCAGTGCTGTGTTTCATGCTTGTAATCACAGCACATTAAAAGGTCGAGATAGGTGGATCATGAGGTCAGGAGTTCAAGACCAGCCTGGCCAACATGGTGAAATCCTGTCTCTACTAAAACTACAAAAAATATCGCCGGCGAGGAGCGGTGACTCAAGCCTGTAATCCCAGTACTTTGGGAGGCCGAGACGGGTGGATCACGAGGTCAGAAGATCAAGACCTTCCTGGCTAACACGGTGAAACCCCGTGTATACTAAAAATACACAAAAATTAGCCGGGCGTGATGGTGGGCGCCTGTAGTCCCAGCTACTCAGGAGGCTGAGGCAGGAGAATGGCGTGAACCAGGGAGGTGGAGGTTGCAGTGAGCCGAGGTCTCGCCACTACACTCCAGCTTGGGTGACAAAGCGAGACTCCATCTCAAAAAATTAAAAAAAATAAATAAATTATAGCCTTTCCATTTGTATAAAAAGAGGAGTAATATATTAAGAACATAATAAAAAGTGTCTCTAATATCATTGAAATCTTTATTAAAATTTTCTTCTAAATGCTCTTTATGGGAGATTATAATGTATTTGTTGTGCAATTTTGTTACTCTAACCATATGCTAAGAATTCAAAATCTGCTCTTTATGGGAGCCCAGTTATGGTTGAACATGCTAGTTATCTGGAAAGAGTCTTCTTCCGTTGCATGCTTTGTTTATTCGGTATTTCACAGGCTAATGTTTATTTAATTTTATTTTCTAATATTATATATTCTTGTATTTCCTTGTTAGGATAGGCTGCCTTACATTATTTAATTGTGTTTTTAGATTCTGCCTATATATTATAATTTTGTATGACTATATTCAACTGTGTACAGTTGAATATGAATCAGTCAAATATGAATCAACCACACGTCTATTGCCAACATAATTCTCTGTTCATTTGCTTGTATAAACATTACTCATACTTTATTTATGACTTGTGTATTTGTTTAATTAGTTGGTGGTCAATTATTTTTTTAATCCTCTCTGGGTGAGTAGTTGTGGAAATTGTCTTAATTTCCACTTCTATATATTAATGAATCTATATTACTTTTGTGTTGAAGGAAACACTTCTGTGATTTGAAGTTAATTTTTTTTTACCTCTGAACTTTTTACTGGCCTCCTGCTCCCCAAAGGGACCTTGCTTCTGATGGCTTAGCACAACAAAAAGTCTGTATTGTTGGTCTCAGACACCACTTTCCCGTCCACTATCCTGCGGGGGCTGTTCTTTTGGATAGCTTGCAGGTATTTACTGCTGTCCAGAGCATCCAGGAGATTGAAATCCTCCCCGTCTTCTAGCAGGCGGCAGTAAGTGGCAATCTCAGCCTCCAGCTCGACCTTGATGTTCCACAGGTCCTCGTGCTCTTGGGCGTGGTACCTCTCTTCCCGGTTTTGGGATAGCTCTGACTCCAGGTGCAGCAGGATCCTGTTGAGCTGCTCCATCTGCGTCTACCTCCCTTAGGCTGTTCTCCAAGCTGACTTTCAGATATCTCATTGAGTCCAGTTCGATATCCAAGGACTGGACTGTACATCTCAACCCCCTGAGCATCCTCTCAGCAGCTCCGATCTCAGCGGACTGCATGGTGACTACTCTGGTGCTCTCCTCAGTCTGCTGGGACCAGTACTTGTCCAGCTCCTCTCAGCTGTTCTCAGCCATCTCGTCATATTGGGCCCAGATGCCTGTCATGATCTTGCCAAGGTCCTGAGACTTGGGGACATCTACCTCCATGGTCAACCAAGAGCTGGAAATCAGGTATTATAGACCTTTAACTTCCTCCTCATGATTCTTCATGAAGAGCAGCTCTTCCTTGAGGGCCTCCATCTCTGTCTCCAGCAGAGGCTGACTGACACTGGTGTTATCAGTAATGTCGCACTCCACAAACTGGCACATGGCCAGGTCTGTCTCACACTTTAAAGTCATCAGCAGCAAAATGATCATTGTCAGTCTGCAGGATGATGCAGGCACTGTCTGCAGCAGTGGCAAAGATTTTTTTATTAGTCTAATTGTCTGTCTTTATGCTAGTAACATAAGATTTTGATTACTGTAGATTTCTAACATGTCTTGAAATCAGGAATTGTAATGCTTCCAACTTTTTTTATGTGGTCCCCTGAAATTCCGTATACTTTGGGGAGTCACATTCTCTGTTTCTGTCAAAAATAATATTAAGAATTTCATAGGGATTGTATTAAATCTGCAGCTCACTTTGGGCATTATAGACACGTTCAAAATATTAAATTTTTAACTCTTGAACAAAAACATGTTGAAGAATAAATTGTTTAATTATCATGTATTTGTGAATTTTATGAATTTTCTTCGGTTATTGATTTCTAGTTTTAATCCATTTTGGTCAGAAATTATAGTCTGTAGCCTTCAGTTTTTATTATACTTTAAGTTCTAGGATACATGTGCAGAACGTACAGGTTTGTTATACAGGTATACATGTGTTATGTTGGTTTGCTGCACCCATCAACTCAACATTTACATTAAGTGTTCTCCTAATGCTATCCCTTTCATAGCCCCCCACCCCCAAACAGGCACTAGCGTTTGATGTTCCCTGTCCTGTGTCCACATGTTCTCATTGTTTAACTCCTACCTATGAGTGAAAACATGCAGTGTTTGTTTTTCTGTCCTTGTGATAGTTTGCTGAGAATGATGGTTTCCAGCTTCATCCATGTCCCTGCAAATGACATGAACTCATCCTTTTTTAAGGCTGCGTAGTATTCCATGGGGTATATGTGTCACAATTTCTTAATCCAGTCTATCATTGATGGACATTTGGGTTGGTTCCAAGACTTTGCTATTCTGAACAGTGCCACAATAAACATACGTGTGCATGTGTTTTTATAGTAGCATGATTCATAATCCTTTGGATATATACCCAGTAATGGGATTGCTGGGTCAAATGGTATTTCTGGTTGTAGATACTTGAGGAATTACCACACTGTCTTCCACAGTGTTTGAACTAATTTACACTCCAACCCACAGTGTAAAAGCGTTTTTGTTTTTCCACGTCCTCTCCAGCATCTGTTGTTTCCTGACATTTTAATGATCCCCATTCTAACTAGCGTAAGATGGTATCTCATTGTGGTTTTCATTTGCATTTCTCTGATGACCAGTGATGATGAGCAATTTTTCATGTCTGTTGGTTACATAAATGTCTTCTTTTGAGAAGTGTCTGTTCATATCCTTTGCCCACTTTTTGATGGGATTGCTCGTTTTTTTCTTGTAAATTTGTTTAAATTCTTTGTAGATTCTGGATGTGAGTCCTTTGTCAGATGGGTAGATTGCAAAAATTTTCTCCCATTCTGTAGGTTGCCTGTTCACTCTAATGATAGTTTCGTTTGCTGTGTAGAAGCTTTTAAGTTTAATTAGATTTCATTTGTCTATTTTGGCTTTTGTTGCCATTGTTTTTGGTGTTTTAGTCATGAAGTCTTTGCCCATGCCTATGTCCTGAATGGTATTGCCCAGGTTTTCTCTTAGGTTTTTATGGTTTTGGGTCTTACATTTAAGTCTTTAATCCATCTTGAGTCAATTTATGTATAGGGTGTAAGGAAGAAATCCAGTTTCAGTTTTCTGCATATGGCTCGCCATTTTTCCCAGCAACATTTATTAAATAAGAAATCCTTTCCCCATTGTTTGTTTTTGTCACATTTGTCGAAGATCCAATGGTTGTAGATGTGTGATGGTATTTCTGAGGCCTCTGTTTTTTTCCATTGCTCTATATATCTGTTTTGGTACCAGTACCATGCTGTTTTTGTTACTGTAGACCTGTAGTATAGATTGAAGTCAGGTAGTGTGATACCTGCAGCTTTTCTCTTTTTGTGTAGGATTTTCTTGCCTATGCAGGCTGTTTTTTGGTTCCATGTGAACTTCAAAGTAGTTTTTTCCAATTCTGTGAAGAAAGTCAGTGGTAGCTTGATGGGGATAGCATTGAATCTGTAAGTTATCTTGGGCAGCATGGTCATTTTCATGATATTGATTCTTCCTTTCCAGGAGCATGGAATGTTCTTCCATTTGTTTGTGTCCGCTTTTATTTCATGGAGCAGTGGTTTGTAGTTCTCCTTGAAAATGTCCTTCACATCCCTTGTAAGTTGGATTCCTAGGTATTTTATTCTCTTTGTAGCAATTGTTGAGTGGGAGTTCACTCATAATTTGGCTCTCTGTTCATCTGTTATTGGTGTATGGAAATACTTGTGATTTTTGCACATTATTTTGTATCCTGAGACTTTGCTGAAGTTGCTTATCAGATTTAAGGAGATTTTGGGCTGAGACAATGGGGTTTTCTAAATATACAATCATGTCATCTGCAAACAGAGACAATTTGGCTTCCTCTTTTTCCTAATCGAATGTCCTTTATTTCTTTCTCTTGCCTGATGGCCCTGGCCAGAACTTCCAATACTATGTTGAGTGGGAGTGGTGAGAGAGGGCATCGTTGTCTTGTGCTGGTTTTCAAAGGGAATGCTTCCAGGTTTTGCCCATTCTGCATGATATTGGCTGTGGGTTTGTCATAAATAGCTCTTATTATTTTCAGATGTGTTCCATCAATACCTAGTTTATTTAGAGTTTTTATCATGAAAGGCTGTTGAGTTTTGTTGAAGGCCTTTTCTGCATCTATTGAGATAGTCATGAGATTTTTGTCATTGGTTCTGTTTATGTGATGAATTATGTTTATTGATTTGCATATGTTGAACCAGGCTTGCATCCCAGGGATGAAGCTGAATTGATCGTGGTGGGTAAGCTTTTGGATGTGCTGCTGGATTTGGTTTGTCAGCATTTTATTGAGGATGTTTGCATTGATGTTCATCAGGGATATTGTTTTTTTGTTGTGCTTCTGCCAGGCTTTGGTATCAGGATGATGCTGACCTCATAAAATGAGTTAAGGAAGATTCCCTCTTTTTCTCTTGATTCGAATAGTTTCAGAAGGGATGGTAGCAGCTCCTCTTTGTACCTCTGGTAGAATTCCGTTGTGAATTCGTCTGGTCATGGACTTTTTTTGGTTCATAAGCTATTAATTATTGCCTCAATTTCAGAACCTGCTATTGGTCTACTCAGAGATTCAACTTCTTCCTCGTTTAGTCTTGGAGGTGTGGATGTTTCCAGGAATTTATCAATTTCTTCTAGGTTTTCCACTTTATTTCCGTAGAGGTGTTTATAGTATTCTCTGATGGTAGTTTGTATTTCTGTGGGTTTCGTGGTGATATCCCCTTTGTCGTTTTTTATTGCGTCTCTTTGATTCTTCTCTCTTTTCTCCTTTATTTGTCTTACTAGTGGTCTATCTATTTTGTTAATCTTTTCAAAAAACCGGCTCCTGGGTTGATTGATTTTTTGAAGTGTTTTCTGTAACATTCAATTTTTTTTAATTCTGTTAAAAAATTTTTTTCCTTATATTTATTTTTAGGACAATGTTTTATGAGCTTTTGACAAGACTGTGAGTTTTGTTGTTGTGTAGAGTGATCTCTATGCATCTGTTACATCTAACTGTTTTACAGTATTTTCATGTCCTCTGTTTTCTTCTTAACATTCTCTCTGGCTTTATTATTAATTACAGAACTGGTGTATTAAAATATTGTTCTCAGTATATTGCAGTTTTTTGTTTATGTTCTGACAAAATATTATTGATTTATTTTAAAATCTTCATGTGAGGTTCATATATATGTGTGTCTGTATACATAATTAGATAAATACACACAATTATATAAATGTATATTATATAAATGTATATAATTTTCCTAGGTTTCCAGTGAATAAACTTTTTTATTATTTTGTCCTTTGTTTTCTTTGACAGTTTTAACTTATAATTTATTTTATAAACTAAGACAGTTATTTAAAAAGTATTTTGCATAATGTGCTCGTGACGTTGTCTTCATTTCATTACGATTTGCATAAAATTGTTTTGATGCATCTTGCCACTTTTAGTCTGTTTTTGTTACTATATAGTAAGATGGCTCATATCTGTCATCCGAGCATTTTAGGAGATTGAGGTGGGAGGTTAACTTGAGCCCAGAAGTTTGAGACCAGCCTGGGAAACAAAGCAATACCATGTCTCTAAAATAAATAAATAAATAAATAAATTGAATCCCCTGTAGACAGATGTAGTTAGATTTTATTTTATTTTTTATCTCTGTACTCTATTTATGACTTTTGTTTGAGAAGTTTAGTTTGTGAGTAGCTACATAATTTCCTGCATTTGAAGGAATTACTTTTGACACTTTTTGGAGTAAAAGGTAAATATTAAATTTGAACTAAATTGGACATGGACTCAAACAATGGTCACCAAGTCCCGGAACAGGTTGTGTGAGCCCCTTGAAGCCCTCATCCAGCGCTGTTTCAGATAAATCTCTATTTCAATTTATTCCTATATCTTAGTTATTGAAAAACAATAGACAATCAAAAAAACAAGTTGACCTTTTTGTGTTCCTTGAGCCCCGTTGTGAATAGCCTTCCTGACCGGACTTCATGCCAAATAACTCATTACAAAAAGAGCTGGGGTTCCAGACTGCGCCAAAGCTTCATGAGATCTCACGTTGTCTGTGGACGGATGAGTGGCCAATCTGGAGCCCAGGCTGTTGCTTCACAGTCTTGTGGTGAATCCTCCATAGTTTGGTGAGTTTAAATATATATATATATCTTTTCCCTTCTCCCCGTCCCATTGCAACTTGCTTATATATTTGCTTATTATATCTGCATTGCCATTTAAGTGGGATAAAGTTTGTTTGAATCACTGGCTGTGCGTGAGGTGCAGCAGGGAGTCCCAGTTGGTAATTGTAATGCTGAGGGAATTTCCCAGCATTGATGATGCTTGCTTACTTCTTATAAGTTAAAGTGTCAATGTAGGGACTGGTTGTTACAAGAGAAATGTAAGCTGGAAAAGGAAAATTTTAATCTGACTTCCAGACTGACCCTGGTACCATGCCAGGCCTGTCTTGACTGATCAGGCTCAAAGCTATCAGCCTATTGCTGAAAAAGCAGCTGTCCGAGTTGCCCAGTCAGGGTAAAACTGAATAACTAGTCAGTTTTCAGGGCAGAAGAGGGTAAAAACCCAAATCCTATCTCAAGGATGGGAAGTTAACTCTAATAAAATTCAATGGCCTGCACAAAGTGTAAAGTTCCTTGGCATCCTATGGACTGCAGGGAAACAGTCCATTTTACCAAAGGCTAACGCTAAAATACTAGAATTTGCAGCCCTACCACTGAAAAGGAGGTCCAAAATTGTATTGGCTTGTTTGGATTCTGGAGACATCATATTCCCCACTTGGGTAACATATTACAACCTCTGCATGCAGTCACTAGAAAACACTATGAATATCACTGGAGAGAGAAAGACAGCCTGGCTTTTCAACAAGCAAAACAAGCTGAGCAACTGGCCCTGGATCTATGGCCCTTATAGGATGAGTCAACAGAACTGCAAGTAACTGTCCTACATCAACATGCTAATTGGAGCCTTAGGTAGAAACAAGATGGGAAGAAGATACCTTTGGAGTTTTAGACCCAGAAGCTGCCAGAGGCTGGCAAAGCTTATACTCTTTGAGAAGCAGCTGTTGGCCTTCTACTGCGCTTGAAGGAAGCAGAACACCTTTGTTTTAATCATGATGTTTTTATGAGGCCCCAAATTCCTATTATGACTTGGGTCATGAGCTCCCTCAAAACCCATTGGATAGGGTACACTCAAGAATGTAGTATCATAAAATGGAAATGGTACATACAAGACCAGGATAAGCCAGAACTAAAAGCGGTATCATTTTTACTTGAAGATGTGCAAAACTTGCCAACTCAGGAAACCACAGGGCAAGTCCTGCATATAGGGAAGGAAACCTCCCCTGCCCAATGGGGCAAATCCTTTAAAGAACTAAGCCCAGAGGATCAGAAACACGCTTGGTTACTGATAGTTCCACCAAATACATTGATGGGACCTGATGCTGGGAGGCCGTGGCTTATAATCCTGTTAAAAACATAAGCGTTTCTGATGAAGGGAGGGGTGTGAGCAGCCAGCTGGCTGAACTAGAAGCCATCCTCCGAACTATTCAGGAGGAGGCCAGAGCAATTTGTTGCTTGTATACCGACTGTTGGTCAGCAGAAAATGGTCTTACTACCTAGTTGCCCGAATGGCAATGAAACAAATAGTGAATAATGAATAAAGAGGTTTGGAGAAAACAATACTAGGAAGATACCTGAATCCTGATGCACATTACTATTATTGCTGTTTTTCATATTGATTCTCATGCATCTCTGCATTCTCTTGACAGACTAAACAGCAGGTAGATCAACAGGCCAAAATTTCCAGCATAAATGCAAACTTGAATGTGGGTGAATGGATTACAACACATTCAAGCCTGGCGATGAGACACATTATAATGTATGGTGGTATAATTGATAATGATTACCAGGAACAGTTAAAGTTCACTTTACACAATACCACTCCACATTCTTTTGTTACAAGACCGCAGATTCGGGTTGCTCAATTGTCAGTGGTACCTGGTACCTTGTTAACAATTAACCCCTGAGGAAATCTCTGCCCCAACAGAGGCTACGTACAGAACTGGGAAATTAAGATCCACTGGTATAGGTAGCTTAAATCCTGGAACGAAAATATGGATACAGCCTCCATCAGATCCCGCCCCTAAGGCTGTGACCTTGTAGGTATGGGAGCAGAAAATAAAAGGGTAGTACAGTTTCCTAAAAATGAAAAACAATATTATGTTCCCCTTCAGTTTTGTTGTTACAGAGAATAACCTGTCTACTAGTAATCAGTACCTGGGTCATCAGGTCTGAGGTGGAGAGTGAATTCATCAACTGGGCAGCAACCACTGCGACAGAAGCTAACCGCAGTCAATGCTGGCTATGCATCAAATTGCCAGAGGCCACAGGAAATGGACTGCCTTGCAGAGTTGTCCTTGCCAATATTTCTGAATGGCTCTGTCACTACAAATGGGGCCAAAACAACAACACTTGCAATCCAACCTGGACTTCCTTTGCTACTTTAATAACATCTTAATACACTATAATTGTAGTATAACCATTGCTGTCCCCTGGGGGGCCCTCTGGGTATGCAGACCCTATGGGTGGCCTATCTGCCCCCTTATTGGATGGGGAGATTCACTTGGGGGTGCCATTAATTCCATTCACCATCCGGGATAATATTCCCTTCCCCAATAATCTAGATGCTTACAAAGGTAGCTGGTTATGAACGTGCCAGACTCCCTGGTGGTGGAAAACTATCACAGTATTCTCCCTTGCCCCTCGTACAATCCTGCTTCAGCAACAAATTAAAATATTAAGTCCACATATAGTAAAAGCTCCTAAGATAGTAGCACTGGACTTCTGTTGTTATCAGAAGAACTTGTTCAGCTGTGTACTGTTGTGTTGCAAAATCGAATGGCATTAGGTATGTTTACCGCAGCCCAAGGAGGGGTTTGAGTCTTGCTGCATTCTGAATGTTGTGTGTATCCCTGACAGTTCTCGCAGTATTACTCTCCTTGCCGAAGACATGCAAGGACAAGTAAAACAGTTAGAATCTAACCATCAGGACCCCATCATGGACTGGCTGTCAAACTAGCATTGGCGTTGGCCGTGGTGGGTGTGGTTTCTATTAATTGTGCTTTTAATTCTCCTCTGCTCTATCTGTAATCTATACCAGTTGTGACTTCCCCGTATAACTGTAAAAATATTTTCCTATGATTCAGTGTCAAATTGAGGCTGAATGAGGAGGAAAAGTTAAATATTAAATTTGAACTCAATGAACATGGACAGAAACAATGGTCACTAAGTCCTGGAACAGGTTGTGTGAACCCCTTGTGGAATTCATCCAGCACTGTTTCTGAGAAATAGTTATTGAAAAACAACAGAAAATCGCAAAAACAAGTAGGCCTTTTCGTTTTCCTTGAGTCCAGTCACGAAGGGCCCTTGTGAGTGGGCCTCATGCCGAACAAATCGTTACAAAAAAAGCTATGGTCCCAGACTGTGCTGAAGCTTAATGAGACCTCTCCTTGTCTGTGCAGGGGTGGGTGGCTGACTCTGGAGTCCAGGCTGACGCTTTCCTATAGGCAAAGCTCAGGGAACAGAGGAGAGTCACATCAAATAGTTGATGAGTCAAGAGATATGTCACAGGGACTCCTGTATGCAGGGTCCAGACAGGAAATCCACATCGTTTTGGTGCTGAGCCCAGCAATATATTACAATGTCTTCTGAGGGAAGAACCAAGGCAAAAAATTAATGTCACTTTGGTGTTAAGCCCAGTGATACATCACAATTTCCACTGCAGGAAGAACCTAGGCAGAAGAGAATAGTTACATCAGCTAGATGGTGCCCCCATTGATATGTCACAATGTCCACTTGAACAGGAATCAGTCAGCAGAAGCAAGTCACATCACCTGAGTGATGGGTGCAGAGATAAGTCACAATGTCCCCTGTAGGCAGAGCACGGAAAGGAGAGCTGCATAACCTGGGTGTTGGACCCAGCAATATAGCTTATATGGTAGACCCCTGGCAGAAAAATTACAAAACATGGGGCCAGCACCAAGTATATGTTATAATGTCCCCTGTGAGCAGCACCAAGGCAGGACAGGAGACTCGCATCACTTGGTTGCTAAGACAAGTGATCTGCTACAATCTTCTTTGTAGGCAGGGTGCACACACTTTTTTTAGGTGGTGAATGCAGAGAGATGTCCCAAGGCCCCCTGTGAACAGGGCTCAGGCAGTAGCCATCAATTCCCTAGGTATTATGCCCAGCAGTATGTCACAATATACAAAATATGCAGGGCCCAGGGAAAAGAGGAGAGTCACATCATGTGGGTGCTTGTCCCAGTGATTTGTCACAATCTCTCTTTTTGACAGGACCCAGGCAGAAGAGGGGGGTCATAGGTGCTGGGTTCAATAATGTCACAATTTTATCATGGGCTGGGCTACGCAGAAGAGTCAAGTCACTCACGAGCTGGGCCGAGATATATTTCACAGTTATACCTCCAGGAAAGTCCAGGGCTGAGACTGACAATCCTGCACATGTCCCATATCTAGGTGTGAGAGCAAACACATTGTGTTTGTTGGGTGTAAGTGTACAAGTCACAGTCTCAATGGTGCACTGGATCTGTGCATGGCAGCTTCAGTCTTTCCCGAGGACCGTGGCCCCTTAATGGAGTCACAGCGTCACGTGTTTGCTGAATGTTGGTTTTAGAGTCACTGACTCAAACATGGATCGCATCCACTTATGAGAGTCAATTATTCATCTCTCAACCGCCTCCAGGTGTGAGATTTGGAACCTCAACAGTGGGCTGTGTTCATGTGAAAAGATGACAATTTTTACTCTTGGCTCAGAGTAGATATGAGTGTCACAATCTACTTTTGTTCTGGGCCCTGTCAGGACACTCTCTTCACCATATGAAGCCTTTATAGAGTATGCATGAATGTAACAATTCTCCCTGAAACCTTAAGCAGGCACGGACCCCTCCTTGTGCCTTTAGCTTTAAGCCCTGGTATGACAGTCAACATCTTTCTACTTGGATGGGTCCAAATAAGAGTTCTTAACTGCCTATGAGCTGCGTTTAAAAATGAGTCACCATCCCACCTGTGGCTGGATGTTCACATATGAAAGTCAGAATCCCAGTTGTGGACTATGTCTGCATGTGTAATTCAGGACCTCAAGAGTGGGCTCTCTCCACGTGTGATAGAGACCATCCTGAATATTGGTGTGGTGTGAATCTGAGAAGTATAATCTCACCAGTGTGCTGAGCCCTTTGGTGACAATTTCTCTACCATAGTTTACACAATATGCATGACAGTGGTACTCCTCCGTGTGACGTATCACTGGGTCTTGCACACAGGTAATGTGAGTCTCCTCTCCTGCCTTGGAATGCTCACAGGAGGCATTGGGACATACCACTGAAGCTGATATTCAGGTTATGTGCCTGTCTTTCCTGTGCTCTGTCCATGGGCTTTTGTGACATATTTCTGGGTCCAAAACACAGGTGACATAACTCTCCTGTCTGAACTCTGCCTACAGAGGGCATGGTGGCATATCTCTGCACCAGCCACTAGATGATGTGACTCTATCTTCTGTCTAGTCTCTGCCTACAGGGTGAATTGTGACTTATCACCCGGCGCAGCATTTAGCTAATGTGACTCTTCCCTTTTTTCAGGTTCTGCCCTCGGGGGAGATTGTGACATATCTATTTGTAAAACACCAAAATGATTTTACTCTTTTGTCTTGGCTCTGCCCTCAGAAGGCTTTGGGATATATTGCTGAACAAGCACCAAGGTAATGTGATTGTCCTACCTGAACCCTGCCCACAGGGAGCATTGTAACATATCTCTGAGCCCATGAACTATTTGATATGGCTCTATTCTCTTACCTGGGCTTTGCCCATGAGAAAGATTGTGAAGTATTTCTTGATCCAGTGCTTAGGTAATGTGATTCTCCTCTCCAGCCTGAGACATGCCCACAGAAGTAAGAGTGACATCTCTGGGCCTAGCCCACAGGTGATGTGAACCTTATCCCTTGTTTCTGCCCAGGGGAGTCATTGTGATGTATATCTGAGACCATTATTAGAATGATGTGACTCTCCTGTTCTTACTGCGACCTGTCCACAGTGGGGATGATGATGTATCACTTAGGCCAGCACATATGAGGTGAGATTCTTCTCATGCCTGTGCCCTGCCCCCTGGGCTAATTGTGACATATAACTGGGCCCCTCCCCTAGGTTATGCAACATATCCCTGTGATAACACTCTTTGTACCATTTAAGAGCTTTATATAATATGAGAGAGTTGTATTCCTCTAAGTCCTTCATACAAAAGGAAGAGTTAAGACCTACCGGTTTTCCAAAGCCTCCCTATGAAAAACAGCATTTCTCTTAGTGGCAGGTTTGAGGTATGAGAGTCATTATTACACCTGTGAGCTGGCCAAGATATATGTTTCAATCTCTTCTGTGGGTAGGGAGTGAGCAGGAGAGTCACGTCACCGGGATGCTTGGCCTGAGATCTGTCAATATCTTCCCTGATGGCAGGGAACAGGTAGGAGAGTCACATACCTAAGGCTGGGCCAGGGATATGTAACAATGTTTTCTGAGGTCAGAGGCTAGGAGGGGAGTCCCATCACTTGTGTGCTCACAGGGGATATGTTACAATCCCCTCCTGAAATCAGAGTACAAGCAGCAGAGTCAAATCACCTGAATATTGAGCTCAGTGATATGTCACCACACTCCCTGTGGGCAAGACCATAGCAGGAGAGAAACATCACCTGATTACTGATTACTGGGCCCAGTGATATGTCAGAATCTTTCCTGTGGGCAAGGTGCAGGCAGAAAGGAGAGTCACATCATCTGGTGTTGGAAGCAGAAATATGCTACAAGGCTCACTGTGGACAGAGTTCAGGCAGGAGCCTCTAATCTCCTAGGTGTTAAGTTCAGTGATACGTTACAATGCTCCCTGTGGGCAGCACGAAGGCAAGAGAATAGAGCCACATCACCTATGTTCTAGGTCCAATGATATGTCCCAATTTTATTTGTGAGCTGGGCTTAAACAGAAGAGTCTAATCACTCAGGTGCTGGACAAATGTGTATGCTTGTCACAATGACACCTGCAGGAAAGTCCAGATATGGGATGAATCCCGCACATATTCTGGTTTTACGCATGAGAGTGAACACCTTCTGTATGTTTGATCTAAGTACACAAGTCACTATCTCAATAGTGGACTAAATTTGTGCATGGCAGCCCCATTTTCTCTTGCGTACTTTGTCCCCTAATTGAAATCACAGCTTCCTAGGTGTGCTGACTCATGATCTGAGAGTCATCAACACATCTGTGACTCTCAAATATGAGAGTCAATTTTTCAACTTGTCAATCTGCCTTTGGGTATGGGATTCAGAGCCTCAAAAGTGAACTATGATCATGTGAAAGAACGACAATCTTTAATGTTGGCTGGGTGTGCATCCCAATGTCATTATATTACTGTGTGCTGAGCCCTATTAGGACTTTCTGTGTTGCACCTGACGGCTTTATGTTGTATGCATGACAGTCTCAATTCTTTCAGAGATTTTCATGCTGGTATGGACCCATGATCAAACCTGTGGCCCTAAGCCTATATGAGTCAACATCTTTACAATTGGCGGGGTCCAGATAAGAGAATCATCAGCTTTCTATGCGCTGGGTTTATAACAAAGTTCCCATTCCAACTCTGGCCAGATCTTTACATATGAGATTCGCAATTCCAACTATAAACTGCATTCATGTGTGAAATTCAGGACCTCACCAGTGGGTTCTGTTTATATGTGAGGGTGAAAATCATAATGGTCAGGAGGGTTCAGGGTGCGCATAGGAGTAACAAATTTCACCTGTGTGCTGGGCCCTGTGATAAGACTCTCTACCACCCGAGGGCTTTCTGTAATATGTGAGAGAGTGGATGATCTTAGCGAGGAGACCTAGGGTTTTTTTTCATTTCCCTAAGTGTAGCTAGGAGAAGCAGTATCTCTTCTATTGGCTGGTTTGACATATGAATGTCATCATTGCACCTGTGTGTTGTGTTCCAAGATATATGTCACAATTACACCTGCATATAGGAAGAGAGCAGGAGAGTAAAATCAGTTGGACGCTGGGCCAGTGATATGTCGCTTCCCTGAGGACAGGGACCAGGCAACAGTCACATTACCTGAATGTTCAGGCATTGGTATGTTGGAATCCACTCCTCACATTAGGAACCAGGCAGCAGAGACACATCACCTGCATGCTGGATCTAGCAATATTTCACAATCCTCTCTGTGTTCAGGATGCAGGCAGAAGAGTCACATCTTCTTGGTGATGAATGTAGAAATATGTCACAAGCTTCACTGCACGTAAGGTAGAGGAATAAACCTTTTATTCCCTAAGTGTTGGGCCCAGGGATATGTCACAATACCCAAAATATGCAAACCCAGGCAAAAGAGAACAGTCACATTACCTTGGTGGTAGGGTCACTGATATGTCACAATCCTCTGTTTTGGAAGGGCCCAGGTAAGAGTGGAGAGTCACATCGCCTAGGCAATGAATAGAAGAGTATGTCATAATACCCCTGTTGGCGAGACCTATGCAGAAGAGTCACATCACCTATGTGTTCAACCCAGATATATGTTACTGTACACCATGTATGCAGGGCCCAGGCAAGAGAAAAGGCCACATCACCTCGGTTCTGGGCCCAGCAATATATCACAATTCCCCCTAAGAGGAGGTAACAGACAGCAGAGTCACATCACCTAGGTCTGAGGAGCAGAGCTATATGGTAGTGCCCTGTGTGTGTGGGCCCAAAAATAGAGGAGAGTTACATCACCTGAAGACTGTACCCAGCTATAAGTTTCAATCACCCCTGTGGGCAGCACCCAAGCATGAGAAGAGAGTACCATCATGTAGGTGCTGTGCCAGGCTGTATTTCACAATCTCCACTATGGATAGGTTTCAGGGGGAAGAGGAGCATTACATTATCTAGTTGATGAGTCTAGAGATATGTCAAAATGACCCCTCTGGAGACACCAGGTTGCAGAATCACATGACCTGTGTGCTGGGTCTAGGAATAACCCACTCTCCCTTCTGTAAACATGGCCACGGCAGAAGATGAGGGTCACATATTTAAGGTGATGAACGCGGAAAGATTTCACAAGGCTCCCTGTAGGCAAGACCCAGGCAGGACTTTCCCTTCCCTCAGTTGTTGGGAGGAGAAATACATCACAATGTGGGGCTCAAGCAGAAAACAAAAGAAATATCCCCTATTTTCTGGGCTCAGAATTATGTCACAATCTCTCCTATGGGCAAAGCCTTTGTTAAAAAAGGAGAATCTTGTCAAATAGTTGATGGGCTCAGAGATATGTCCCAATGCCATATGTTACAAATTGCTGTAGGCAGGCTTCAGGCAGGAGACTCACCTTGGTGTTGGGCCCAATAATGTGTCACAGTGCTTTCTGCTTGCAGAGCAAAGTCAACAGAGTAATGTCACCGAGAAGTTGGACCCACCAATGTATCACAATCTCCTTCCAAACAAATCCTAAAAAACAAAAGAAGAGTAACATGAGCTAGGTGCTGGGCACAGTGATATGTCACAATCCTTTCTTTAAGCAGGGACTAGGCAGGAGAAGAAAATCACACCACATGGGTGATGGGCTCATAGATATTTCACAATGTCCCCTTAGGCAAAGCTCAGGAAGGAGAGCTAAATCATCTAGGTTTTGGATGCAACAATATGTCAAAATGGCCATTGTGGACTGGGCACAGGCAGAAGAGTCACATAACATGGATGTGGGACCCAGCAATACATCACAACACCCCTGTGAGTAGCACTAATGCAAGACAGAAAACATACATTACCTAGGTGCAAGGCCAAGTGATATGTCCCAATGTCCCCTGTGGGCAGCACTAAGGCAGGAGATAAGAGTCACATCATCTAGGTGCTGGCTTCAGTGATATATCAGAATCCCATCTGTGAGCTGGACACAGGAAACAGAGCTAAAACACTCAGGAGCTGGGCAGAGATGTATGTCACAATCCCACCTGCAGAAAGCGACAGGGATGAGATGAACAACTCCACACATGTCCGGATTCCAGGTATGAGAATTTGTATGTTTGGCCTAAGTACACCAGTCTCAATCTCAACAGTGAACTGGATTCATAAATGTGTCTTCTCTGGCTGACCGTGTCCCCTTAGGAGAGTTACAGTCTCACAGATGTAATGAATTTTGGTTTGAGACTCACCCACCTACCTGTGGACAAGATCCATATATGAGAGTCAATTTTCTCTTTCTTTCTTTCTTTCTTTCTTTCTTTCTTTCTTTCTTTCTTTCTTTCTTTCTTTCCTTTCTTTCTTTCTTCTTTCTTCTTTCTTTTTTCTTTCTTTCTTTTTCTTTCTTTCTTTCTTCCTTCCTTCTTTCTTCTTTCTTCTTTCTTTCTTCTTTCTTTCTCTTTCTTTCTTCTTTAATTCTTTCTTTTCCTTTCTTTCTTTCTCTTTCTTTCTTTCTTTTCCTTCCTTCCTTCCTTCCTTCCTTCCTTCCTTTCTCTCTCTTTCTTTCTTTCTTTCTTTCTTTCTTTCTTTCTTTCTTTCTTTCTTTCTTTCTTTCTTTCTTTCTTTCTTCTTTTGGTCCCTTGAGACGGAGTCTCACTCTATCGCCAGGCTGGAGTGCAGTGGGGCGATCTCGGCTCTCTGCAACCTCTGCCTCCTGGGTTCAAGCAACTCTCTTGCCTCAGCTTCCCGAGTAGCTGGGATTGCAGGTACGTGCCACGACGCTCAGCTAATTTTTGTATTTTTAGTAGAGATGGGGTGGCCAGGCACAGTGTCCCATGCCTGTAATCCCAGCACTTTGGGAGGTCGAGGTGGGTGGATCACCTGAGGTCAGGAGTTTGAGACCAGCCTAATTAATATGGTGAAACCCCGTCTCCACTAAAAATACAAAAATTAGCTGGGAATGGTGGCATGAGCCTGTAGTCCCTGCTACTCGGGAAGCTGAAACAAGAGAATTGTTTGAACCAGGGAGGCGGATGTTGCAGTAAGCCTAGATGGTGCCACTGCACTCCAGTCTGGGTGACAGAGCAAGACTCTGTCTCAAAATAATAATCATAATCATAATCATAATCATAATCATAAATAGTAGAGAGACGTGGTTTCACCATGTTGGCCAGGATGGTCTTGATCTCCTGATCTCATGATCTGTCCGCCTCGGCTTCCCAAAGTGCTGCGATTACAGGCGTGAGCCACTGAGCCATGCCGGTTGTACCCATTTTTGAGGATGGTAACTTTTATTGTCACCAGAGTGTGCATGAGTGTTAGAATCTCACCTGTTTGCTGGGCCCTGTTAGGACACTATGTACCTCCTGTGGACCTTGTAGAGTATGCATTAAACATAATCCACTCTGACGTCTTCATGCTGATATGAACCTATGATCATACCTGTGGCCATAAGTCCAGGTATGAGAGTCAACATCTCTCCAGCTGGCTGGATCCAGATAAGAGGATCTTTACTTGGCTGTAAACTGGGTTCAGAAATAAGTCACTATCCCAACTGTGACTGGATGTTCACATGTGATAGTTACAATTCCAGCTGTGGACGGCATTCAGGTATGAGGTTTAGACCTCCCTAATCACCTCTGTTCCTGTGTAGGAATGACAATTCTGATGATTGGTGGGTGTGCACACAGAGAACACAATCTCACCTGTGTTCTGGGCCCTGTGATGACACTGTACCATCTGAGTGCTTTATAGGATATGCAAGAGTGCTTACTTTCTCTGACCTTCATAGTAAGAGAAGACCCATAATTTTGCAAGTTTTGTTAAGCCTGGCTGTGAGAGAAAGTATCTCTGCTATTGGTTGGTTTAAGGTATGAATGTCATCATCACACCTACATGCTAGGCCAAAATATATGTGACAATCTCACATTTGGGTAGTCAGAAGCAGGAGAGTCTCATCACCTGGGTCTGTGTCAGGGACATGTTGCAGTCTTCCCTGAGGACAGGGACAAGGCAAGAGAGTCACATCCCTAAGAGTTCTGCCAGGGATATGTTCTTGTTCTCTCCTGAAAGCACGACACATGCAGCAGAGTCACCTCACCTGGGTTCTGGGCCCAGTGATATGTCACAATTTTCCCTGTGAACTAAGCACAGGCAGGTGAAACACATCACCTGTTTGCTGGGCCCAGAAGTATGCTACAATTTTTCTTGTGAGCAGGGTTCAGGCAGAAATGGGGGGGATCATATTTTCTAGGTGATAAATGCAGAGCTATGTCACAAGGCCCTCAGTAGTCAGGGTCTTGGCAGAAACTTCCTATTGACTAGGTGATTGGCCCAGTGATACATCACAATAGCTAAATTATGTGGGGCCCAAGGCAAAGAGGAGAGTTGCATCACCTAAGTGATGAACAAAAAGATACTTCATAGTACCCATGGGGAAATGGCCCATGCAGGTGAGTCACATTACCTACGTGTTGGACCCAGTGATATGTCACAATACACAATAAATGTAGGATGCAGCCAAGAGCGGATAGTCAAATAGCTCAGGTGCTGGGCCCGGTGATACATTGTAATCTCTCTTTGGTCAGAGCCCTACAGTAGAAGAAACTCAGTTCACCTCGGTGCTGAGGTCATCCATATGTCACAATACCCCTGAGAAATGAGCCCAGGCAAAGAGTGAGAGGCCCACAGATATTTTGCAATGGCTCCTGTGGGTAGCGCTCTGTAAAAAGACAGTCACATTACCTAGAGTCTGCCCGCAACGATTTGTAACAATCCCTGCTATAAACAGGTAGCAGTCAGGAGAAGTGAGTCCCATCACCTGGGTGGTCAGTGTAGAGATATGTCACTATGCCCCCTGTAGGCAAAGTCTAGACAAGAGTTACATCACCTGGGTGTTGGACCCAGCAATATGTCACAATGGCTCATGTGGGCAAAGCACAGGACAGAGTCACATAACAAAGTGCCAGGACCAGTGTTAGGTCAGGATACCCATTATGGGCAGTGCCAAGACAGGAGAATAGAAGCATATTAATTAGATGCTGGATTCAGAGATATATCACAATCTCATCTGTGGGCTACACCCAGGCAAAAATGTCAAATCACTCAGGTGCTGGCTAGAGGTGTATGTCAGAATCACACCTGCAGGAAGGTCCATGGATGAGATTAACAATCCCACATAAGTTCCGGTTCTGGGTATGAGAGTGAACGCCTCCTGTACGTTGTATCTATGTGCATAAGTCACAATCTCAATGGAGGAATGGGTTTTTTCCATGAGAGCCTTAATCCCTTTTGAAAACGGAGTTATCTTAGTGGACTCACAGCCTCACAAGTGTTTTGGATCTTGGTCAGGGAGTCACAAACCCACTGGCAGACAATATCCACTTTTAAGAGCCAATTTTCCAACTTTTGACTGCCTCTGGGTGTGAGTTTCAGAACCTCAATTATGGTCCATGTTCATGTGGGAGAAACAATTTTGACAGATGGCTGGGCTCAGGCAGGAGACTTTCATCCTGCAGGTGTTGAGACAAAGGATACATCACAATACCCAAAATATGCTGGGTGCAGGCAAAAGAGGAGACTCATATTAGCTGGTTGCTAGGTCCAGTTATATGTCACCACCTCCCTTTTTGGCAGGGCTAAGGCAAAAGAGGAGAGTCAGAGCTAAAGAAATGTCATAATGTCCCTGTGGGTAGGGCCTATGCATAAGAGTTGCATCACCTAGTCATTAAACCCAGCCGTATATTAGAATACATAATGTATACAAGGCCCAGGCAAGAAAGGAGAGAATATCACATAGGCACTGTGTCCAGCAATATGTCACCATACCCCCCAGAGGGGAGGCTCCAGGTAACAGGGTAACATTACCTAAGTGAAGTGCCCACAGAGATGTTTCAATGCCCCTGGTGGGTAGGATTTTGAAAAACGAGAAGTTACAGAACCTAGGTAACAGGCCTAGGTATGTGTCACATTCATCTCCAAGACGGAGCCCAGACATGAGAGAAAAGTCACATGATGTAGGGCATGTAATATGTCACAATCCTTATGTGAGCAGGCCCTAGGAAGAAGTAGAGAGTCACATAGTCTAGATGATGGGCCCAGAGGCATTTGACAATGACTCCTGTACGTAGGGACCAGGCAGAAGAATCACATCACCCCTGTGCTGTTCCCAGTTATAAGTCACACTTCCTTCTGTGGGCATGACCCAGGCAGAGAGAATTCACATCATCCCAGTGCTAGACCCAGGGATATGTCACAATCTCTCTTATGGGCAATGCTCAGGTAAGAGAGGAGAGTCTCATCAAATAGGTGATGTACCCAGAGGTATGTCACGATGCCTTCTGTGAACTCGATCCAGGCAGAAGATTCACATCAACATCAACTTGGTGCTAAGCCCAGCAACGTGTCACAATCCCTTCTGTGTAAAGGGACCAGGCAGGAGAAGAGAATCACATCACCTGGCTGATGAGCACAGAGATATGTCACAATGCCCCTGTAAGGCAGGGCCCAGGCAGTTGGGTTACATCACCTGAGTAGTGGACCCAGCAATATTAACACAGTGTCCCATATGGGCAGTGCACAAGCCGGAGAGTCACATAACCTGGATGCGAGGCCAAGCTATATATAACAACGCTTCCTGAGGGCAGCGCCAAGTCAGAAGAGGAGACTCACATCACCTGGGTGTAAGGTCTAGCGATATGTCAAACTGCTCACTGTGGGCAGTGCCAACGAAGGAGAATAGAGTTACATCCTCAATGTGCTGGATCCAGCAATATGTTAATATCCCATCTGTGGGCTGGGTCCATGCGAGCCCGTCAAGTCACTTAGGTGCTAGGCACTGGGAAATTTGACAATGGAAGCTGCAGAATGGTCCAGGAATTAGATTAACAATCGCACAGCTGTCTCAGTGGTAGGCATGACATTCAACACCTCCTGTATGTTGGGTCTAAGCCCACGAATAACCATCTCAACACCAGACTGGATTTGTGCATGAGAGCCTCAATTCCTCTGCAGACTGACTTGTGTTCCCGTGAGAGGATGACAATAGTTACTGTTGGCTGGGTATGCATATGAGTCTCACAATCTCACCTGTGTGCTCGGCCCAGTTAGCACGCTCTGTGTACTACCCAATGGCCCTATACTGTATGAATGAGAGTTGTAATCAACTTTGAGACCTTCCTAAAGGTAGGGACCCATGATCATACTTGTAACATTAAGCCCAGGGATGAGAGTCAACATCATTACAATTAACTATGTCAGGATAGGAGACTCATCCCTTGCCTATAAGCTGGGTTTAGAAACGAGCCACCATTTCAACTCTGGTTGAATGTTTATATATGAACACAGGCCTAGCACCAATGTGATGTGAGTCTTTGGCCTAGACACTTCAAGCAGGAGACAATGTGACATATCTCTGGGTCTATCAACTATTTGATATGACCTTCCTTTTTTACCTGAGCTTTCCCCATAAAAGAGATGTGACATATGTCTAGACCCAGCACCTGGGTGATGTGGCTCTTCTTTATTGACTGAGCCCTGTGTATTTTGGGTATTCTGACATATCCCTGTACCTAACTTCTGGAAGATAAGAAGATCCAACATGGGCCCTGCCTAAAAAGTCTCTTGTGACAAATTTCTACATGAATCACCTTGGAGATTTGACTCTTCTCTCTTACCTGAGCTTTGCCCATAAGAGAGATTGTTACGTACCTCTGCAGCAAGCACCTAAATGCCGTGACTCTTCTTTCTTGCCTGGGTCATGCCCACAGATGAAAGGTGGCTTATCGCTGTGTCCAGCACACCGGTTATGTGATTATGCTGCCTCATCTCTTCTCACAGGAGCTGTTGTGACAAATCCCTGGGCCCAGAAATTATTTAATATGACTCTCCTCAATGACCTTAACTTTGTGCATGGGATAAATTGTGACATACCTCTGGATCCAGCACCGAGGTGATGCGACTCTCCTTTTCTACATGGGCTATGCTTACAAGAAGGAGGCTGACTTATTGCTGTGTTGACAACTGATGTGATACCTCTGTTCTTGTTTTCCTAGATTTTAAGAATTTAAACAAGAGACACAAAGAAAAAAAGTACAGCATAATTTATTGGAAAAGAAAATATTTGAAAGTTAAGTGCAGAATACAGTACACCCTGAGAGAGATACTCCAGGGCGGACTGCTCATAAGAGTGAGACAGCGTGGACTGTCGCTGGAGAAACCCCTTTATGGCAGTTTTACATTATTATTAATAAGGAGGAGGGAAGAGGAGTTGCTAGTAAACATGTTCTCTGTGGTATTCTGGGTGCATATGCGCAGTAGCTGTACATGCTTGTTCATATGTTGCATGTCTCGTTAGCATCTTATATTTCCACCCAGGAGTGTATTTCTGTGTGTTTGTTTGTTTGTTTGAGACAGAGTCTCGCCGTGTTGCCCAAGCTGCGGTGCAGTGGTGTGATCTCTGCTCACTGCAACCTCTGCCTCCTGAGTTCAACCCATGCTCGTGCCTCTGCCTCCTGAGTATCTGGGATTACAGGCATGCACCATCATACCCTGCTAATTTTTGTATTTTTAATTTAGACGGGGCTTCTCTATGTTGGCCAGTTTAGTCTCGAGCTTCTAGTTTGAAGTGATCCATCTTCCTCAGCCTCCCA
The DNA here is from genome assembly GCF_000001405.40 of Homo sapiens. NCBI lineage: Eukaryota > Metazoa > Chordata > Mammalia > Primates > Hominidae > Homo > Homo sapiens. The sequence goes on from NT_113901.1 coordinate 26,784, forward strand.
AAGTGCTGAGAGTAGAGGTATAAGCCACCGTGCCTGGCTAGGGGGTGCATTGTTTGCTATTAAAATAAGCAAAATTTAAGTTTGAGGGCAGGTAAAATCAAAATACACATGCTCTCTAGAACAGAAAGTCCTTAATGAGGATAGCTTTGCTCGAATAAGCCAAATTACAATGCGAATGCTAAGGCTTATTGTTTTGGCTGTACAGTCACCATGGTTTCTCTATCCCGAGATCATGGTCATTTTCTGTACTATCTATTCTGCCTCAATTTCCCCCTAAGAGATTTTAGGGCAATAACCATATTGGAGGTTGAGGGGTTAGACCACTTTTTCTGGAGCTGTTTCCTGCTGAGTGGGTGTTACTTCTGCCTAGCCTGGGCCTTAAAGTTTCTTCCTGTGTGATCTAACAGGGTGTAAACCATGTCGTTCGTGGAACCAGTGGGAAGATGTTGGCAGCCAAAGATTGAAAGCCTTGCAAACCATCATGCAAACATGGAGTTGCCACAAGCAACATAGCAGGAAATCAGTTAACATTTTAAACAAAATTGGAACAAAAGTAGAAGTTGAAAATATAATAATGACGGGTACTATTAAAGAGAGCAAGGCAGGCAATGGACATTGCTTTCATGTTCCCATGGAAGTTCCTAGAGATTCAATTTTGTCTGCCTGGGTGATGATATTATTAATATTTTCTTGGAATAAACCAGACTGATTGATCTCAAAAAACAGCATTCTTCTTTTAGATATAAACCTGTTCCTCTTTGCTTGGCTGGGAGAAGATCCCAGGCTCTTTGATTTTGTTGGAATACAGTGGCCATGGAGTCCAGACGTTGTTGAAGTCTATTGAGGCCCTCTGCTGCCTGTTGGGGACACACTGAGATTTTCTGAGATAGTTTGTACTGGATTCCCAAGGATCCACCTTATGGTGACATTTGTGCTGCAAAAGTATTCTGCTTTAAAATGGTGAAAGCAGCAAAAGTTTTAAGTCTTTTCTATTTTTCGCAAATAAGAAAAAGTTTTGTGCAGCTGAGTTGGCAGCAGTCATTGGGTCCATTTATGGATGGTAAAGTTGAATGGTGGTCAAAGTTAGAGACTGGAAGGCTTCAGTAAACGCGCTGAAGTTGTCTGAGAGCCATCAGAGCTGTTGCTTACATTGGATTAGATCATTTACTGGGAAGAGAAGAAGCACTCTGATGGTCCTCTCTCCATTTGAGACTTTCTGTAAGCGGATCAAATTCTCTGGCCCTGCATGGTGTGAAGCTCCACTGTGAGTAACTGCAGCTGGACTGGTCTCTATTGTAACTGGCAAAGGCTGATAGAGGAGCATAAGGAGGAGATGAAACAAGCTTAGATTCTACAGAAGACTCTGATAGTGTGGGGACGCTGGGGATTCTAAAGCAGGTGTAGGCCTCTGAGGGCCCCTATCTGGAGCTGGTATTAGGCTGTGGGGTCTGGGGTCACTTGCCCATAAAACAAATGATCTTCTAATGGATCTGAGGGGCTTTGTGGCTTACTAGGCTTTAGCCCACAGGTGCTGCATGGAGCTGGGTTTTGTTGTCGGGCCAGAAAGTCTTGCACATAGGATACTTCAGACCATTTTCCCTGATTACTACAGAAAAGATCTAGCTGTATGATGGTGTTAAATTTCACAGTCTCATTCTCCAGCCATGTTTTGTCAGCTAATCTGTATGCAGGCTAAATAGTTTTACAAAAGAAGATAATTGTTTTTTTGCTTCATTTAGCCAAAAGCTGTTTCAATTTTTAAATATACATCCCAGGTGTGTTTCAGTGACAGTAGAGGAAGTGATTCCCATGGTGCCGAGAGAATCCTGCAAACGACAGAACATGTACTAAAGTCCAGGAGGCTGTGGGCAGCCCCATGAGCCAAGTGGAACCACCAAGTTGTCCAACTCATCCCCTTGAAACCCCATTAACTGAAGCTCTAGGAGGTCATAGGCATTTGCCATGCACCGTCCTAGCTCTCACCAGCGCTGGACATCTCCAGCCCTGCCGAGATGACCCCCACTGCTCGCTGGGGAGCAGATGTCTGGCTGACAAGCCTTTCCCTAATTCAGTGGTTTGCCATTTATGATGCCCAATTATAACACCTGCAATGCTCAGATTCAATCCCTATGACTGGGCATATCCATGACTGTGCATCTTTTGTTCAGCAAAGAAAGCCTGTTGAAGAACAATTTCAAGGAGCTGGGAAATGCATAAAGCCTAAAGGGACAGGGTTTCCCCAGAACTTTAGTGAAACAGTGCTGGAAGAACCAGCGATAGTTAACCAGGTAGTCTGGAAGTGCCACAGTATTCACGGCAAGTAAAGGGAAAGTGAAATCAGTGAAGCGGACAGACCTCTCTCCAGGCCATGGCAAAAGAAATGTTGATGGCTGATGTAATACCTTGATTCTTATTTTCTTAGTTTAAAAGAATTCAAACAAGAAACACACAGCAAAAGAAGTACAGCATAGAGTAATTTATTGCACACAAAAAAAGAAAAGACTACTTTGAAAATTAAGTGCAGAATAGACGGTACATTCTGAGAAAGAGATTGCAGGGCAGGCTGCTCATAAGAGTGAGACACCATTAATTGTTACTGGAGAAACCCTCCTTCTGGGGGTTTTGCACGATTATTCATAAGAAGGTGGAAAGAAGTGTTAGTGTAAGCATGTTTTGAGTGGTCTTCTGGGTGCACATGTGCACTAACTGTACATATTTGTGCATACATTGCATGTCTCATTAGCATCTTAAGTCTCCACCTAGGAATGTGTTTTTACTATTAAAATGAGCAAAAGTTCAGTTTGAGGACAGATAAAATCAAAATGCACATGTTCTCTAGAAGTAAAAGTCCCTACTGAAGATAGCGGGTTTCAAACGACCCCAAGTGCTCCACATCTTAAATGTCGCTCCAACAAAGCTGGAACACTATCTGCTCCTGAGGGATCCGGTCCCATTTGTGTTTCTGAGACACTGGCAAGTCAGGAGTGACTTGAGATGAGACCGATGATTTCAAGTGTAAAATGCCTAAATAGTCAGCAGCTTCAGGTTTCATTTTGGAGCTTGTCCACTTAAATGGGTTGATGAAAATGGCTCACAAGACTCATGCCTCGGAAATGGGGTTTTCTCCTTTGCTCTTAGCAGATTTTGTGCAACCCAATAATTAACCTTCCTGATGCCTCAACTTTCACATTCGTGAAAAAGGCGCCATTGAGAGTGACATTTCCAGGAAGCCACAGACCTTGTCACCCCCTACAGAATTCTGAAGCTGTTCATAAGCAGGCCACGTGGAAGATTTCTCTCAAAAGCTGTTGAGCATGAGGCTTGGCTAGAGAAAAAAGAGGGCTGCGGCACAATGGACAGTGTCTCAGACATCAGGACAGTTTCCACAGCAGTTTAGGAAAGAAGGTAGCGCCCTGGGCTGCAGAAGGCGCAATGCTCTGGAAAGAACCCTGGGTGCAGCTGAAAGAGGAACTTGAGAAGGATAGGGCCAATCAGTTGAGGACAACCCGCCCGATTTGGGCAAAGGTAAGGTGCCTATGTAGGGTAATACCCTCCTCAATGCTCAGCGCAGACCTGTCCTCTAGGTCCACCTATGTACTCATTCTCCTTGGCAAAGAGTCGGCATAGCATAAGAACTCAGCAGTGCTTTGGACACCGGGAAGTCCACACCGCTCTGCCCCTCCCTCCAGGGCTATGCACCCCGGGTCCCGGTACATGCTGTGATTATAGTTCTGAAGCCTACCGACAAACAGGCTGAGAGCAGTTAACAGACTACAGCTCCCAGCATATTAGGTGGGGCGTGTACCACTCTGCCCCTTCTTCCAGGCCTGTACCTCGCCCCCGAGACTGGCACATGTTGGGATTGTAGTCCTGTAGCCCTTTGACCAAAGGGCTGGGAGTGTTTATAAGAATACATCTCCCAGCAAGCCGAAGGAGACGCACACAGACCCGCCTCTTTCTCCACTGACGGGCCGTGTCCCTGACCCCAGTGCATAATGGGATGGTAGTCCTGCAGCCCTGTGACACAAGTTCTGGGAGTCTTTATGAAACTACATCTCCCAGCAAGCAGAAGGAGGCATCCACAGCCTAGACTTTTCCTCCAGTAATGCGCACTCTCCCTGAGCCGGGTGCATGCTGGGATTGTAGTCCTGCAGCCCGGTGATGAGAGGTCTGGGAGTGTTTATGAGACTGCAACTCCCACCAAGCCCAGAGAGGCGTGCACAACCCTGCCTCTTCCTCCAGTGACGCGCACATTCCCTGCGCCCGGTCCATGCTAGGATTGTAGCGCTGCAGCCCAGTGACCAAAGGGCTGGGAGTGTTTATGAGACTGCATCTCCCAGCAAGACCAGCGAGGTGTGCAGAGCCTCGCCCCTTTCTCCACTGATTAGCGCACTCTCCCTGATCCCGATGTATGCTGGGATTGTAGTGATGCAGCCCAGTGACCAAAGGGCTGGGAGTGTTTACGAGAATACGTATCCCAAAAAGCATAGCGAGAACAGCACAGGTCCACCTCTTCCTACAGTGACGCGCGTTGTCCCTGAGCAGGATGCATGCTGGGATTGTAGTCTTGAAGCCCTGTGACCAAAGGGCTGGGAGAAATAAAGAGACAACATCTCCCAGAAAGCCCAGCAAGGCGCTCACACGTCTTTCTCTTCCTCCAGTGAGGCGGACTGCCCCGGCGCCCCGTGCATGCTGGAATTGTAGTCCTACAGCGATGTGATGAAAGGGCTGGTAGTGTTTATGAGACTACCTCTCCCAGCAAGCCCAGAGAGGTGCGCACAGACCTACCTCTTCCTCCAGTGACTAGTGCACTCTCCCTGAGCCAGAGATATGCTGAAATTGTACTGCTGCAGCCCTGCGACCAAACGACTGGGGTAGTTATGAGACTGCATCTCCCTGCAAGCCCAGCGAGGCACGCACAGCTCCACGTCTTCCTCCAGTGATACACACTGTCCATGAACCCGCTGCATGCTGGCATTGTAGTCCTGCAGCCCTGTGACCAAAGGGCCAAGAGACCACATCTCCCAGAAGACCTAGGGAGACGCACACAGCTCCGCATCTTTTCCCCGTGTCGCATACTGCTTTGATCCCGATGCATCCTGGGATTGTAGTCCTGTAGCCCTGTGACAAAAGGTCTGAGAGTCTTTATGAAACAACATCTCCCAGCAAACGCAGCGAGGTGCGCACAACCTGCCCCTCTTTCTGCAGTGATGTGGACTCTCCCTGAGCCCCGTGCATGCTGGGATTGTAGTCTTATAGCACTGTGACCATAGGGCAGGGAGAGGCCATGGGACTACATCTCCCAGGAAGCCCAGCAAGGCGCACACTGCCCTGCCTCTTTCTCCTTAGACTAGCGCACTGTCACTGAGCTGAGTGCATGCTAGGATTGTAGTCCTGCAGCCTTATGACCAAAGGGATGGGAGTGTTTATGAGAATACATCTCCCAGTACGCCCAGGAGGTGCACACAGCCCTGCCTCTTCCTGCAGTGATTAGCGCACTATCCCTGAGCTGGGTGCATGTTGGGATTGCAGTCCTGGATCTCTGTGACCAAAGGGCTGGGAGCGTTAATGAGACTACATCTCCCAAAAAATCACAGCTAGAAGCGCAAAGCCCTCCCTCTTCCTCCAGTGACGCGCGCTGTCCCTGAGCCCAGTGCATGCTGGGGCTGGAAGTGTAGTCCTTCAGCCCTGTGATGAAAGGGCTGGGAGGTTTTATGAGAATACAACTCCCAGCAAGCCTGGCGAGTAGCACACAACCCCGCCTCTTCCTCCACTGACGCACAATTTCCCTGAGCCCGGTGCTGGCTGGGATTGTAGTCTTCCGCCTCTTCCTCCAGTGACAGGAACTGTCTCTTAGCCAGGTGCATGCTGGGATTGTAGTCTTCCCGCCCTATGACCAAAGGGTTGGGTATGTTTATGAGAATACATATCCCACCAAGTCCAGCGAGGCGTGCACAATGCCGCCTCATTCTGCAGTTACGCGCACTATCCTTGATCTTGGTGCATACTGGGATTGTAGTCCGGCTGCCCTGTAATGAAAAGTCTGGGTGTCTTTATGAAACTACATCTCCCAGGAAGCCAAAGGAGGCTCGCAAAACTGTGTCTCTTCACCCAGGCACATGCACTATCCCTGATCCCGGTGCATGATGGGAATGTAGTCCTGCAGCCCTGTGACCAAAGGGCTGGGAGTGTTTATGAGACAGCATCTCTCAGCAAGCAAAGCAAGGCCTGCACAGCCCCGCCTTTTCCTCCAGTGAGGCGCACTGTTCATTAAGGAGTGTTCATGAGATTACATTTTCCATCAAGCCCAGCGAGTCACGCACAGCTCTACCTCTTCCTCTGCCAGCGCGCACTGTCTCTGATTCCGGTGTATGCTGGAATTGGGGTGCTGCAGCCCTGTGACCAAAGGGCTGGGAGTCTTTATAAGACTACATCTCCCAGCAAGCACAAGAGGTGCTCATAGCCGCACACCACCCTCCCCGCCCCACTCTTCTTTCAGTGACCGTGCACTGTCCCGTGAACCTGGTGCATGCTGGAATTCTCCCGTTGCGGGATTCAGGAGGATGAGAGAGACCCCGGGTTGAAACAGGAGAATTTTTATTGAGTGCACTCAGTGTCAGGCCTCTGAGCCTAAGCTAAGCCATCGTACCTTCTGTGACCTGCACGTACACATCCAGATGGCCGGTTCTTGTTTTAACTGATGACATTCCACCACAAAAGAAGTGAAAATGGCCTGTTCCTGCCTTAACTGATGACATTGTCTTGTGAAATTCCTTCTCCTGGCTCATCCTGGCTCAAAAGCTCCCCGACTGAGTACCTTGTGACCCCCCCACTCCTGCCCGCCAGAGAACAATCCCCCTTTTTCCTTTACCTACCCAAATCCTATAAAATGGCCCCATCCCTATCTACGTTTGCTGACTCTCTTTTCGGACTCAGCCTGCCTGCACCCAGGTGATTAAAAGCTTTTATTGCTTACACGAAGCCTGTTTGGTGGTCTCTTCACACGGACGCGCATGAAACTGAGGACAAGCTAACTCACATCAAAAAGACTGGGCCCGGAACAAAGACAGAACCTGACTTTTATGCACATTTCACAAAAGGTGGTGGGCTAGCTTGAAGCAAGTTTACAGTGGCGTGAAAGCAGGGATACAGAGGCAGGACAGACAGGATTGCACATGACCGTTGCCAAGCAACCCACATGTCCATTTTCTAGGTTTCCCTGGGCATGGGCTTATCCTATAACCCTCACTATGGTGCCCAAACAGCTGTAGTTCAGCCTACTCAGGCTTCTCATGACTTACATTGTACTTCTTAGATAAAACAGAATACTTGAAGTCACTAGTTACAGAGAACAAGAATCTATAAACTCATTCCGTAAAAAAAGGAAATTTGTTTTTCTTTTCCCGATGTTGGGGGAGCGTTGGGAGAGCCTCCAGAGCACATTAGATAATATTATCAAGACTATTCCTGGTTCTGGGCTGTGCCTGTTGAAGCCTCTGGGACAAGTCAGCCCAATACAAGAAAATTTATTTCTCTTTCTTTTTAATTTTATTTTTCTTTAATTTCCCTCCTCAGTCCCACAGCCCTGTGACCAAAAGACTGGGAGTGTATGTCAGGCCTCTGAGACCAAGCCAAGCCATCGCATCCCCCGTGACTTGCACGTATACGCCCAGATGGCCTGAAGTAACTGAAGAATCACAAAATAAGTGAATATGCCCTGCCCCACCTTAACTGATGACATTCCACCACAAAAGAAGTGTAAATGGCCGGTCCTTGCCTTAACTGATGACATTATCTTGTGAGAGTCCTTTTCCTGGCTCATCCTGGCTCAAAAAGCACCCCCACTGAGCATCTTGCGACCCCCACTCCTGCCCGCCAGAGAACAAACCCCCTTTGACTGTAATTTTCCTTTACCTACCCAAATCCTATAAAACGGCTCCACCCTTATCTCCCTTCGCTGACTCTCTTTTCGGACGCAGCCCGCGTGCACCCAGGTGAAATAAACAGCCATGTTGCTCACACACAGCCTGTTTGGTGGTCTCTTCACACGGACGCGCATGAAATGTACAGTTACGCTTCTGTTCATTTGTCATGAGACTGTTTTCTTTTACCCCCATGAACGTACTTACCATAGCTTCTTTCAAATCTTATCTACTGATTACAGCATCTTGCACATCTTGAGAATAGGTTCTATTGTCTGCTTTTTATCTTGTGAATCGATTACACTTTCATGCTTCTTCACACATCTCATGAATTTTTAAATTGTGTGATAGGAACTACAGGGACTCTGGATTCTGTTGTATTTCTTTGAAAATTATTATTTTAAGAGGGAGTTAATTTGAATAGATTCAAACCCCAATCCTTATCTCTTCCACAGTGGCATAGATAAAATCTTCATTCAGTCTTCTAAACAGTGTGCCTTTCTATATAGCAAAATATAGTATTTTATTAAGCTTTATTATTGTTATCTGTGAAATAGTTATTCAACGAACTAGTCTACTTCATTATTACTGGAAACCAGAACCTCAGTTGTGTTCACTTTCTGGATTTTATATAAGTGAAATTATATAATATGTATACTTTTACATCTACTTTCTTCTAGGCAACTTTATATTTATGATATTAATTCATGCTATTGCAGATAGCTATAGTTTGTTTATTTAAAAAATATTTTTTACATTTTGGCAAAGTATACATAAAATTAACCATCTTAACTATTTTAAGTGTTCAGCTCAGAGAAATTAACTACACTCACATTGTTTTGCAACTATTATTCCCATTCATAAGGATCTTTTTTCAACTTCCAAACCAAAATTCAATACACATTAAATAACAGCTCCCTGTTACTCCCCCTCCAGCTCCTAGGAACCACTCTTCTACGTGGGTTTCCAGAATTTAACTACTCTAAGTATCTCATAAGTGGAATGATACAGTATTTGTCCTTTTATGACTGGCTCATGTCACTTTGCACAATGTCCTTAAGGTTCATGCATGACTTACCATGTGTCAGAATTTCCTTATTTTTCATAACTGAATAATATCCCACTGTATGTATAAATCACATTTTATCTATTTATTCATTGACGATAATTCAAACAACACAGGTAATTCAAAAACATTTTGAGTGAAGTGAGTCATGCTGCTATGAGCTTAGGTGTACGTGTATTATTTTGTGTCTTCGCTTTCACATCTTTTGCAACATACCAAGATGTGAAATTGCTGGATCATACGGTGATTTTGAGTGTAAATTATTTCGTTACTATGGTGTTGTTTTATAGCAGCTGCAGCATTTTACATTTCCACCAAGTGTACAAGGGTTCTAACTGCTCCACTTCCTCACCAACACTTGTGATTTTCTGTTTTTTTTTTCTTTTTGTACTAGTTATGCTGATGTGCATTAAGTGATATGTCATTTGGGGTTAGATTTTCATTTTACTAATGAAAATGAAAAGGTTTTGTTGAGTACCTTTTCATGGGCTTATAAGCCACTTCACATAATTTTTAGAGAAATATCTGTTTAAGTATTTTGCCCATATTTTAAACAAGTAGTTTATTATTGCTGAATTGTTCTTTGTATATTCTGGATAGAGTCCTCTTTATTTATTTTTCTTTTGTTTCTTGCGTTTTTGGTGCCCTGTTAAAAGAAATCACTGCCAAATCCAGCCTTATGACGTGTTTTACCTACATTTTATAGTAAGAATTTTGTAGTTTTAGCTCTTACATTTAGGTCTTTTATCCAGTTAGTTAATTTTTTCTTATAGTAGAAGTTAAGGGCCCAGCTTCACTCTTTTACATGTGGGCACCCAATTTCCCCAGCACTAATTGTTGTAAAGGCAGTTCATTTCCCATAAAAATCATTTGACCTTATATATGAGGGTTTATTTATATGGGCCTTCTATATTACTCCATTAGTCTCTTTGTAGCATGCTATTTTGGAATTTTGTAGTAAGTCTTGAAATCATTAAGTGTGACTTGTCTAACTTTGGTATTTTTTTCAAAATTATTTTTGCAATTTAAAGATCTTTGAGATTCCCCATAAACTTAAAAATTGATTTTTTAATATCTACACAAGAGTAATTGGCATTTTACTTCTTCGTTACTTCCTAACTACTTTATTCTTTTGATACTATTGTAAATTGAATTGTTTTCAGAGTTTTCTTCTCAGATTATTCATGTTACTACATAAAATGCAGTTCGTTTTTGTATGTTGATTTTGTATGCTACTATTCAGCTGAATTTATTAGTTGTAATTTTTTTGTGTGGAATCTTAAAGATTTTCTACATATAAGAATATATTTTCTGTACACACTTTGATGCAGTTTATTTCATTGTCTTTTTTAATTTCTCTGAATGAAACTTCTAATACAGTGTTGAATAAAAGTGGCTGGCAAGAGCAGATATTCACTCTGTCTTCGGAGCTTAGAGGAAACACTTTTGATCTTTTCCTCTGGAATATGTTGTTTGCTGTGGGTTTTTATATGTGAATTTTACAAAGCTGGTTTCCTTTTATTCCTAATTTATTGTTTTTATTATAAAATATTTTGAATTTTGTAAAATACGTTATCTGTATTAATGAGAGAATACTTTTTAAAAAGTTTGTCAATGTGGCATATGCATTGATTAATTTTCATATGCTTAAACTTTTGTTAAGAAAGGCTAGCTAAGTGAACCAGTGAGACTGGAAAAAGAATAAAGAAATCTATACTGGTTGTGATCAATTATTTGTAAACACCACTGCACTGAAACCACCCATATGCTAAAACTTCCTTTCATTCCAATAATAAACTCCCCTTGGTCATGGGTTGTAATCTTGCTAGTATGCTGCTGAATGTAGTTAGCTAGGATGTTGCTGACTAGTTTTGCATCCGTGTTCATAAGGGATATTAGTCTATGGGTTTTTGTAGTATCTTTGTCTGGCTTCGGTATGAGCTAATGGTGGCTTCATGGAATAAGTTTGGAACTGCTCTCTTCAGGCTTTTGGTAGACTTTGGAAAGGATTTTTGTTCTATAAATGCTTGATCTAAATCTCTAGTGAAGCCAACAAAATAAGGGCTTTTCTTTATGAGGAGGCTTTTAATTACTGATTCCATTTCCTTAGTAGTTTTGTATCTATTCAGATTTTGTATTTCTTTGTAATCAAGTCTTGTATACCTAGGAATCTGCCCACTTTATCTACGTTTTCCAATTTATCATCCTATCATAGTTCACAGTACAGTTTTTTAAACATTTTAATTCTTTGAATTAGTAGTAATGTCCCACTTTCATTTCTCATTTTAGTATGTGAATATGCTGTTAATTTTTTGTGTGTGTAGCTGAAAGTTTGCCAATTGTTAATTTTTTGAAGAAGTGAGAATGAACTTTTGGTTTTTTGGAATTCTGTGGTTTGTATAATCTCCATTGCATTTATCTCTGCTAAAAGCTTTAATATGTTCTTCTTTCTCTTTGCTTTGCATCTAATTTGGTGTTATTTTTCTAATTTACTAGGTGATAAAGTTATTATTTATTTGAAATCTTTGTTCTTTTTAAATGTATTTTAGCTGCAAACTTTACATCTTAGCACTCTTTTTGCTGTTTCCCTTAACTTTTGATGTGTTTTGTTTTCATTTTTCTTCCTCTGTAAGTATGTTCCAACTTCCTCTGTGATTTCTTCCTTTACTTATTTGTTGTTTAAGGGTATGTTGTTTAATTTATACAGTTTTGTAAACTTTCTAACGTTTCTTCTGTTATTGATTTAATTTGAGATCTACTACACAGCCCATCGTGGGGAAATCCCCATGTGCATTTGAGAAGAGTGTGTAGTCTCTTTTGTTGGATGGAGTATATTGTATATATCTGTTAGATCAATTTGGTTCATTGAGTTATTCAAGAACTCTATTTCCTAATTTATCATCTATCTCATTTTTCTATTCATTACTCAGAGTGGAGTATTAACATCTTCAACTATTATTTTAGAACTGCCTTTTTGCCCTTTTAATTCTGTCAAGTTATGCTTTCTATATCTCAATGTTTTATTATTAGGTATGGGTTTAAACTATTTCTATCTTCCTGCCAAATGGACAATCTATGACTATATAATGTCTTATTGTCTCTTTTAAGTTTTTAAGTCTATTTTGTCTGCTATTAATATAGTCATTCCCAGTCTCTTTTTCATACTATTGGTATAAAATAATTATTTTCTTCCTTTTTTTTTATAACCCTCAAGTCCTGTGGAAGGCTAAGAGCAGCATTACTTAATTTAAAAAGCAGATAAATCTTAAATCCATAGTTTAATATTTCTAAAAGCATTTAAATGGAAATGAGCTACGCAGTCTACCAGGAACGAAGGATATCAGTTGGGTCTAAGAATAATCATGTCAAAAAGCTCTAGGAGGAAAAGCTGCTGGGAATTAAGACTGTGATAACGGTCTTTGGGATCAAGAAGGAAATGGGGAATTGGGGATGCTCAAGGTCAGGTACATGCTTAGCAAAAGACCCAGAAAACCCTAAGCTCTCACCTCTGCATTTTAAACTCTGCACAAGTAGAAAGTAGAGGCGCAAGGAGAGATGTAACTTTATGCTGATTGGTAAAGGCATGCTCCAACACACATACATAGATCTCAGGTGAAAAAATCAGATATTTATGTTTAGTGAGAGTTAAAAAATCTGGAGTCTTACTTTCCAATTAAGGTTTAGTGAAAATATTTGGGGAGATTTGCATTGATCAATTCATCCTGAGGTCAAGAAAATCTTGATTTTGGCATTTGGAGCCTCTAGTAAAGGACTAGCCTCCTCCCAGAGGTGTTCTTTGGGCTTTTGGACTCAGTGACACACTACTGGTTACACTGATTTGAAAGTCAGCTAAGAGCTTGCTGCAGAACTCCTGAGAAACTCAGTTTCACCCATAGAGGGCTAGAGCATCCCCAGCTGGTTGAAATTTTATACCTCCTTCTATCCTCTGAAGCAAAGATGCTGTCTCTGTGGGGCCCCCAATTTACTGAGTGTTTCCTATATGACTGGTCCTGGTTCATAGATGAGTCAGGGAAGGTGAAACCTCATGATGTCCACTGGGCCGCTGTGGCTGTTTAACCTGTGCCAGCCATACAGAACCTGACATGAGTGGTTGCTCCTCTCAAAGGTCAGAACTCAGGGTTTGGGATAATGGCACATATTCTATCTGTTTGGTTATCTACAATGGAAACTGTAGACTGTCTGAATGTCTTTTGGGCTGCAAACTGGAGACAATCTCAGATGCTGATCTAACTGGATCACTCATCTAGAAGTCCATGGTAAGGGTTTGTTTTCTAGAGAGTGACAACAATCAAGCTGCAGATTGAACCTAAATCTGTGTCTAACGCAGAGTCTAATACTGCAAACCAGACTTGGGGTTGCTGGTGAAAGTTGACCTATTTGTCTCATGGTTGAAGAATTCCTAGACCATACCAAGCAGAGTAACCAGAAGTGGACTTTTGGCCCACTTCTTGAGATATCAGTCACCACTCTTGACATCTTCAGCATAACAGTATGCTGACACCATCCATACCATGTGTCCCGTGAAGCTAATCTGTGCCATCTTTTAGGCTTTTGAGACCAATTGAGCTCTGACTTCGCGGCATTTTTCACCACACGTACTAAAACAAGCCAACTCTATGATGTTCCCTCCTTTTCCACACATGCTGGTTAGATAATTTGTTGATTAGGTATGGTTTATTTTCTCTTCCTGATTGCCTCCAAGATAAGGATGAAATGATTGGGAGATCTAGGAATCATCTAGGAATCTATTTCACAAACTTGGAATTTCGTGCTAATAATTCCTGGGTGAAATGTGACTTTCTTTCCCATAACTGCAATTCTAGGCAAGCCTGGCTTTTGTATCCTCTGAGTTGCATCTCAGCCTAGTAGCAGTTATGGGACTCCAACTTAGTTCCAGCTAAGTTTTATGTAAATATTCTTGTCTCTATTTTAACTGCCTCTAGTAGATAAAGTGTCTAGAAAAAAGTAGAGGGCGACTAGAATAAAGATGAGATTATAGGTACCGGAATGAGACACACTGATTCTGTGGAAGTAGTGGGAGAACAACCTGGAACCTGGGGTATGAACAACACAGACCTCGGAAGCTACGGGAAACGGTGGGACATTAACAACTTTTTTTCTTTCTGAACAACCCCTGGTGCAGCCCACAGAAAGGTCTGGAAATACTATTAGTTAGATCAGACGGTAAGGCAGAGGCTGTGGATTCATCTCCTTTTGGTCCCCACATTACTCTTAAGAATCCTTTGAGACTATTCTATCTCTCCGTGATGTAGGCATGGAACTCTAGTGGGCAGTGTGCACTCTCGGTGCCCATGGTTCCAGGCCACAGTTTTTCAGATGATGGACAACAATTGCTTTTTCCTGAAGAGACTTAGTACCCTGTGGCTGAGCTTAAGCGGGACTCTAGACAGCATTGATTGCATTTTCTTCTTCCTCTACGAACTGGGATTTCTCCTTCTGTTTTTCTACTGCCTAGAGGTGAATCTGTATTTGTCAATATTTAGGTAAATCAGAGACATAAATCAGGTAAGGAACCCTAGACACTGCTTCTAGGCTAGCTGGACTCTTGCCTATTTCCCTTCTCACTTTATGAGATCAATTATATTGGCACAGGTTGATACCCTTAGATAGTGTCTCTAAGGAGCAATTAGAGAAGCATACTTCTAGAGAAGCATACTTCTAGAGAAGCTGGTAGGACAGGGCAGGAGGGCCAATGAGGATCAAAGTTTCTGTCCAAATTTTTGAGCCTAGGTGTGTGTGGCCGACGAATCCAGGAAAGATCCCAGATCCCTGGAAGGGATTGTTAAGAGAGGATCCATTAGATTAGAATGCTAGGGTGGGTGTTCATCCGTCGCCTTCTGAGTGGGATTTTCAGGGTTAAGACTGAGGTAGGGCTGCAGAGAAATGCTATCCTGGGAAAGCCTCTGATCGAGTGCAACATAGGTGGCTCCAGCACAAGGAGAAGTCCTCTATTTGAGGAACACCATACTTGTGTGGATGTGTCTGTGCTCTTCCTCAGCAGAGCCCCACTGACTGAATGATTGTTTGAGAATTATGAGTAAAGAGCCCTATATTATTTTGAATTTAGTAAATATTGGAAGAGAAACAAACAATATTATCTACTTTCAAATTGAATAACAGCATGAGCAACTTCCAGGAAAATGTCACAGGAGGAAACTCCAGGGCCTTGCTCATCCCTGGAAACCTTGAAAATCCTGATGCAACCTGTAGGGTTAAACTTATCAATACTTAATTTTTTGCCATATAGATTTATCTTCATAAAAATATTTTCATTGGACCTTCATTTTGATATATGCCATGAAGAATAAATCATTTATTTCCTTTGTGATAAGAACATCACATTTTTACACCTCATGTATAAATGATGCCACCACCCATGTAGTTTTTATTGCTATGGCCTGAATGTTTATGTCCCCTTTCAAATTCATGTGTATAATTTTAGGCGTGAGGCCTTTGGGAAAGTGGTGAAGCCAAGAGTTCTTCATCTTCATGAATGGAATCAGTGCTCTTTCAAAGGAAGTTGAAGGGAATGCCCTTGTCCCATGTGCGAGATGGTACCATCTATGGGGAATAGGGCTCTCACCATATACGAAATTTGCTGCTGCCTTGATCTTGCACTTTCCAGACTCCATAACTGTGAAAAATACATTTCTCTTATTTATCCTTTACCCAGTCTAAGGTATTTTGTTATAGCAGCCAAGATGCACTATGACACTTTCTTAGACACTTTGGTTTATTTCTGAATTTTTAGTTTCAGTGATCCATGAGTTTTTTAATCAATCAAGATTTTACGCAGGGCTTGCCAGTGGGTTTTTTTTTTTTTTTCAGAGTTTTCTTGTCTATTCTTGTTTGTGTTTTCATCTATATAACATTTTATAGTAACGTGTACTTGCAATATTTAATGGTATCAGTATAGGAACAAAATTGAATTTATAAATAACTATAAGGACAATTGATGTTGATAATATTGAGTTTTTCTGCCTAAGAATATGATACAAATTGTCTATTTGCTTATGTCTACATTCATATATTTCATAAACTTTCTATGTTTTTTCCATATTCCGTAGATATTTTTGTAATATTTATTCCTAGTTTATTCTGCTAAAAAGTAATTTGAGACACAATGAAATTGCAAAGTGTTTATTTGAGTAAGAGCAATTGATAAATTATAAAATATCAGACGGAAAGATATTGAGTGCTTCATTGACAGTGTAAGAAGCAAGTATTTATTTGAAAAATGTAGAAACAAAGAAATCATTTGGTGGTAGCACAACTTTTTTTATTGTTTTTTGTTTGTCTGTTTACCTTGTTGGACAGTTTCTATTTATATAAGGTTGTTGGCTACTTCTGACTGGTTGAGCTTCATTTCTCTTTTTTCAATATGCAGCTACAAGAAATAATGTAAGTTTTGTTTGTATTTGCAAATCAAGCGAGGTTGAGATCACTTATGAGACCTAACTAATTTTGTCTGCTCAGAGATTATTGAGACATGATCTCCATTTTAATTTCCTTTAACAAATTTTCTGTACTTTTACTTTCCATCCAAACAGTAACTTATAAATTATTATTGTTGTACATATGTAGGCCCATGTTGTGTATGCTTTGAAGACCTGTCCTGCATTCAAACTCATTTGTATTATGTTATTATTGAATTTGCCCCATTTATTGGAATTATAAACTGCAATCCCCCAACTACAAGAGGTATGAGCTCTGATGAGATAAGAGTAAAGATGAATCAGAAGTGAAAACCGTCCTCCAACCCACACATGCAGTAAAAACAAATTTCACATGAATACAATGAGTAATTATCTAAAATTTAAAGTACCCTGAAAACATTAATGTTTATCTCATTATTATGTAATATGGAAATTAAAAGGCAAAAAAATCCAAAGACTTACTGTTTAAATATAATTGAAGTTTTTTATATGATGAAGTGCTCCATAATTTAAATGTAAAAAACCAATAGGAAATATATGAAATAAAATAAAATTATACGTAAAAGTGACAATGCCTCTATTAGATTTAACAGTATCTTACAATAGAATAAGTTGAAACCTACAAAATGGAAGAAAGTTTAAAATTAGGCAGATATTATCAGCCTGGTGAAGAATAAATACATATGTCAATAAGCATTTAATGTATTTTGTCTTAGATTTTACATGAAATAATAAAAAGTAAGCAAACCAATAGCATGGTAGTTTCACCCTGATTGATTCAAACTGAAAAAATATTAACATTTCTCCATGAGAAGTTGGATTCATGGATTGGCCTCATGCTGCATTCAAGGCACTTTAGCCAGGATCCAACACTCATTGCCAAGAGTCAGCAGGCTAGAAGTTTGCTTTTAAGATGTTCCCCGGCCTGCGACCAAGACGCTTTTTCCTGACTACTTCTTCAACTCTGACATAGGTTTTGCTAATATAAACGCAAACCCGGCTCTATACCTACCAAGTATCTACTTGGCTAGAGCTGCAAATGGAGCATTTAGGCACTAGGCAAGAGCTCTTCCCACGTTTCCAAGCACACTTTCTAGAATTTCCCAAAACTACTGACATTGTCTTTCAGACCCCATCTCCCAAAGAGAATCAGAGAGATGGTCTGGAAGCCATTTAGAATCTCCAGCCTCCAACCTAGTAACAATGGACTTGGATACAAAGACGCAACCTACTGACCTCAAAGACACCAGCCCAGATTCTGGGCATTGAATTCCTGCCTCCCCATGAAAGATCTCAACTGAGTCACATCAAAACCCACACTCTTCTTCAAGGTTCACCTTCCAGACACGCTCCAAAACAGTCCCTCAGAATTGTCTTGAGATGAAACAAAAGGTGATGAAGGTCCAGGTTTGGAATGCCTGCCTCATTCTTCACTCCTGAAAAGTCTACACCTGCTGGTTAGCACTCTCATATGTTAGGGAGCCCGGGCTCTGAGTGCATCCTTTAACAGGACCTCCTGGCCTTTTCCTACTTGGAGTAGAGTGCCCAAGAATAATAGGGAATACAAGGCCTCCACTCTCACATGGCTTGATTGACTGATGAACTGATGTCGGAGGAGGAAACATATGTAGGGAACAGCCTGGGTCTTGTGAATCCGTTTCCCAGCTATGATGCCTGTGCAAATGGAGGGAGAATCGTCAAGTATTATTGGGTGGTAGACAGACACTGCCTAATAAAATTAAGTAAATGTAAGGTGACTTGAAGGGGAATTTATCATATGTCATATACAAAATTTTATTTGGTCAACTTTATTTAAAAACAGTCACAATTTGTAAGGGCATTCAAATATAATTTTAATAGGGAGCTATGAAAATTATCTGCACTTGCTATGTAAGTGATTGAGTTAGGGGTAACTATCTGAAGGTCATGAGCTTGATATCTGCTACTTAATTTCATAAGACATTTACTTGCAAATGGTTGCCATTTTTGCTCTCACTATATGAAAATTTTTTCTTGCAAAGAGCATTCCTATGAAAGAAAAACTAGAAATTTTGCCAATTTCGGCTATTAAAACAATAAAACTGGTTTGTTTGTTATTCTTAACCAAATGCTCCTACAGATGACACATAGTACCCATGCTTTGATTGTTTTTTGTTTTTTTTTTCACCTTAGGTCAATTGCCTTTCATTTTATTTATCAAACTGTATTTACTGTAGATAGACATTGCAGTTCTCATGTGCCCTATGGATTTGTACTTTCTTAGAAGTATGAATTCTCAGGCTGAGTATATTGGCTTATGCCTGTAATCCCAGCAATTTGGGAAGGCGAAGCAGGTGGATCACCTGAGGACAGGAGTTCAAGACTAGCATGGTCAACATGGTGAAACCCCATCTCTCTACTATTCACAGTTCACATTGTACCTTGCAATGAATATACATTTTATCCAAAAAGGCTAAAAAATAATGAAACTGGGGTGGGAATGGCTGGAAGTATAGGTGAAACAAAAATGACACATGACTAGCAGCTGTTAAATCTGGGTGACTGGTCTGTTATCTTTTTTTTGTATTATGTATACGTTTTTAATGTTCTGTAATAAAACACGTGTAGAAAATGACAAAGTTTATCTACACTTAGCTCTTAAGGTCTTGGTTACCTTTGGGAAGGAGAAAGTGTCAAGGGCATGAGCAAATCTGATTCTTACATACACAAGTGTATTTATTTAGTAATAATTCATCAAGCATTCCATAAATATTTTGTTCCTATATTGCTGTATGCAAGTTATTCATCAATAAATATTTAAATAGTACATATTTGCATAACAATCCTAAATTAATATTTTAGAATAATAGTAATGTTTTGTTTTGTTTTAAAGTGGGGCGTGTTCTCTCAGGACATCGTCAGGTGTATATTAATGTTCCAAGATATTTATTTACGTTTTAACTTTTGGAAGAGTCCCCTAGGTCTTTTAATTTTTACCTCAGTACAGTAAGTAGCATGGTTTTAACTTTTTGGATTGCAGCTTTGTTTTCAGAAAGGTTCTCCCCGAAGAATGATGCTCACCCAGGCCAGCGCACACAGCACAGTGACCCGTGCACAGGATGCACTGAGCACACACGGCACTGGGTGAACCATGAACAGAAGGAGAAGCCAGCCTGGGTCTGCAAAATATACTTTGCAGGAAAAGCAGGTAAAATTGAAAGGTCACAATTCAGCAGCAAACGTTTTTACATTCATTTGAGAAATCATTTCTAACAAAAGCTGCTCGTTAAAGCCATGGTTTTCTGGCTTGCCTACACATTGTAATCACCTGCACAACTTTCAACCGTATTTTTTTCAGATCCAGCTCCAAGGATTCTGATTTAGTTGTGCGGTTACAACTTGGGTTTAAGGGATTTTGAAAGTTTTCCTCCCCGCAGGTGATTCTCTTGC
Source organism: Homo sapiens (assembly GCF_000001405.40). NCBI lineage: Eukaryota > Metazoa > Chordata > Mammalia > Primates > Hominidae > Homo > Homo sapiens. The sequence goes on from NT_113901.1 coordinate 46,679, forward strand.
GCCAGGGGTAAGAAGCGCTGGATAGGGGTGAGGGATGCTTTAGCTGTGAGAGATAGCCATGTACGCTTCAGGATTTGCCCCATCACATATCTGGAGTTCAGGGTCTTAGAAAATATTCTTGCCCTGTTAAAAATTAAAGGATGGCTTCAATACAAATTTAGCTATTTGGCTACGTTACAGAAAAAGAAAATGCCTTTCCAGAGATCAGTTTTTTGAGTCAGAGTTTTGTTCTGTCAGTGAGGCTGGAGTGCAGTGGTGTGATCATGGCTCACTGCAGCCTTGACCTCCCAGGCTCAGGTGATCCTCCAGCTCCAGCCTTCTGAGTAGCTGGGACTGAAGGCATACACCAGGCATGGCTAATTTTTCAATTTTTTTTTTTGTTGTTGTTGTTGAGATGGCTTTCTCTATGCTGCATGGGCTAGTCTCAAACTCCTTGCCTCAAATGATCCTCCCACATCAGTCTCCCAAACATTTCAACCTACAGGCACAGGCAACCATGCCTGGTGTATTTATTAAAATGTAGCTACTAGAATATTTAAAATTCACATGTGCCTCACATATTATTTCTTAGAGAATTGCCTCATTTTTGAAATCTCAGGCTGCCTGCTCTAAAACCTGGATGTGCCAGGAAGTAAAAAATCTGAAATTTTAAAATAATTGTCATTATATTGCTTCCATGTATGAATAACACATATATATTTTTCATAAATACAAATAATCTTACACACAAATGAAAATGCAAGTATTTTACAGGCAGGGCCAGTGTCCAGTGCATGAAGGAAGCCCTGCCAGAAAAGGATCCAGGAAAAACCTATAATTCTTGCTTTATTCAATCCAGTGTCAAATCACATATGTCACTCATGGCCTGAGGGGGCTTGGTGGGGAATTGAACTATATCCAGTCACGGGTGCTGGAGTGGAAATTATCTAATCAGGTGCACAGCTGGAGAAGAATGGGCAGCTTTTTGGATCTAGGGATGCCTTTGCCTGTCTCTCCACTCAGAGGTCAGTACACTAGAGCCACCTCAATGCAATTGCCTGTTTTTTAGTTGTTTTAATGCTCCAAAAAAGAATTCATTTTCTCATGCATTTTCCAAATGTGTGGCAAGAAGAGCCTCAAATCTACCACCCTGTTACCCCAGCCTAACTCTTGCTTGCAGTCAGAGTTTAAATTTCCAGTTCTTTCCTGACACTTACCAACACTAACTAACCTTGTGTAACTCACAACATTATCAACTGTTCTTTATTGTACATTTTAGACATAGTATTTTAATTCTGCATTTTTTCAAAAAGCAGTGGATGGCACTTAAAAAAATATTTTTCATTTGTAAACATTTTACAGGACATGAAAGCAGATAATAATCCCCTGACAATCCACAGTAAAAAAAAAAAGAAAAGAAAAGAAAAGAAAATATTTGTGCCCCTTTCTTTAATCTTGCCTTGGCACAGACACCCCATCAGAATGTCTTTGGGTTGAGGTTTCATTTCAGAAACCTCACAGGGCAATACATCCTCAGCCATCCTGTGTTATTTTCTTGGTTTTGGGTTTCAAAACTGCTTGAGAATCCCCAAGATACCAACACTGGCCATGACTCTTGAAGTGTCTAGTAAATAGCATCCCTTGTGTCATCTCCTCTCAGGGAACAGCCCAAGGTATGGGAATGCAGCCTCTTTTTGGAGTGGTTGGATGCACTATACCTGGAAGGAATCTCCACGTATACCTTTGCGTTAAAAGCAAACCTCTTAGGACATTAAGAATTTCTTACCCCAACGCTTAGTTTCCATTCCTTAGAGACACATTGCAGGCCAGGCAACTGGATGCTGATATTGAGGAAAAAATGTCCTCAGATTGGTGAAGGGAGAGAAAATATTTCAAAGGATAAAGAAACCCAACCTAGTGAGGCAGTGCAAAAACCTGCAAAGTAAAATGCACCTTACAGACACAGTGGAGCAGAGCGTAGCAGCTCCTGGTAGGACGCTCATGACCCACATCACTGAACCAGATAGGAGCAGGGAAAATATCCCAAGTAATAGAACGGCTTGACTTGACCCTTGGGTCAGATATGTCTGTGTTTCAATCAGCATTGTCACCTTCTAATTTTGTCACCTTGAAAATATGATTGTATTTATTTTAACTTCACTTTTTCATTAACTGTAAATTATGTTTTATCAGTAGAGCTTCAAAGGTATGAGAATATTTATAAAGCACATTAAGTTGGTGAATTTTGAATAAAATTAAGTAGTAATATATTTCATTTGTTAAAAATTGTTACTTACCTATTTCTTCAGCAGAATGAGCGTAGCATGTCTCCCAGGTCTGTTTTTTATTTGTTTGAGAGGTGATTTCAAGCAGAATCTCACAGCTTACTGTTGGAAATGCTATCAGTTGTAAAGATAGGGATAGTATCTCTTCCACTACGGTGGTAGGAAATGAATACATATCTGCAAGCACATGAGGTAGATTAATTGTCAAATTACATAAATTTATCACATAAGTTATTCTTTTTTTCAAAAGAGAGAACTTGTGAAAGTGAATAACTCTATTCCATATGCTGCCATCTGGGTGTTTGAGGGTAATGTTAAGTTTTAGGAGCTGGGACTTTGCGCCTCCTGGAAGTGTTCACATATGATTAATTGTTTACTAAATGATTTGTTATGAACATAATTAAATTACATGTTTATTTTCTGAAAGGGATAGATACTTTGGCTTTTCTTGATGAATTATAAGATATAAGCCCCTTATAATGTTTTTATTTTATTTTATTCTGTTATTTTTTAGATGTAGTTTCACTCTTGTTGCCCAGACTGGAGTACAATGGCAAGACATCTGCTCACTGTAACCTCCACCTCCTGGTTTCAAGCGATTCTCCTGCCTCGGCCTCCCGAGTAGCTAGGATTACAGGCATACAACACCACACCTGGATAATTTTGTATTTTTAGTAGAGACGGGGTTTCTTCATGTTGGTCAGGCTGGTCTCAAACTCCTGATCTCAGGTCATCTGCCCACCTAGGCCTCCCAAAATGCAGGGATTACAGGCATGAGTCACAATGCCCGGCTGTAATTTCCTCTCTTTTATACCTTAGATTTGAATAATTTTTGCTGGATTCTTCAAACATGAAGTATTTTTTGAATTGAAAACTAACTGAATGACTAACTGGTAAGTAGAAGTCTTAGACCATCGACTAAAAGCTAAGGCCCACCTTGACCCAGCAAAAGAGGACCACTGAAGGCTCAGTTGATTATTCCTGGGTGTCTGCCCTGCAGGTGTCCAAGCCTACTCACACCAATCATGGAAGGAGCCTTTGTCACTGCCAGAAGATATAGAGCCTTGGTAAGCTGGAAGTTCACAGGCAGATGCAGTTGAGGTAGAGATAGAAGAAATGTTGGGAGATTCTTTTTAGAATGGAATTGTTATTGTCCTCAGACTGTTTCTAGACTTGGTCTAAGAAGTTACCTAAGAAGTATTGCAACAAAGAAAAAGTACAAATGATTAGATCTTTGAGTATCTCTAAGGTTAGGTGGAAAAAGGCCTTATTTCATAGGGAGGAGAAAACAAGTTTACAAAGAAGGTTGGAAAGGAAGCACAGGATGGAGGGTAGCAAAATGAGATCCCAGATAAGATAATGTTTCACCTTGAACTCAGCCTGTTCTTAGGAGGGTTACGTATAAATAAGGGTTGTAGGTTTGCTGAAGCTGTGGGTGAGTCAAAGTTCAGGGGCTGTTTGGAAGAAGAGAAACAAGCAAAGTTTCTGTAAAGAGTATGTTATTTTGACCACTGAAGACTAAATTACTGAATGGTTGTTCATTTTTAAAAATGGGAATTTGCAATCTGTGTCCATTTTTGTGATAGGTTAAAAAAACAGCAGGGAGCATCCTCAAAGTCATCACGGGAAGCACGTTTCTCTTCACTAAGCTGTTCTTTGAGAATGCAAAGAATGGGGGAATTTCTTTAAATATAGCTATTTCCAGGATTACCTTCACCCACAACTGTTCCTTGCCCTAGACATCTCTTCCATTTGGCTGTTTCTGAGTTATATTTTTATAATAAAGTAGTAAATATAATTACAGTTATTTGTTGAGGTTTTCTTTTTAGTAATTCTATCAAATTATTTAACTTGAAAAGGGGTTTATGCTAGTCTCAGATTTATAGGAGGTAGCTCAGAAGTGTAGATGGGTTTCAGGGATGTGTAACTCTCCTCTACAGTGAGAGAGGTGATGTGGGACTGAGCCCTGAATTTGTGGGGTCTGTGCGAACTCTAAGTTGTGTCAGAATTAAATTTTGGGGCAACAAATGGGTGTTGGAGAATCAGTGGGTTTTCAGGGAACTTTCCACATTTAGGATCAAAAACATAAAAAGAAAGACAATGTGGGGGCCTCTGCTGGAGAGAGACTCCAGGTGTCTCGGGGAAGGTAGGCTCTGCTCTGCACACAGGCTGCTACACCATGAACTGCCCTGTGGTTCCAGGCATCCTCCCATGGTAAGAAGGACCGACGACTCTGAGGGAAGAAGTTCTGAGAACAGATGCCTTCTACCCTCCTGCCAACCTGAGGCCACCACATGTTTTTCACCCACTGAACATACACACTGCATGTTGACGTGGTCAAGCCCCTCCCAGCACAGGGCTTCGGCATAAAGATTGTGGCCCATGCTACCTATCCTCATAGACTTTCCCACCAAAAACCCACACACGTGCCTACAAGACCCCTGGCATATGCTCTACCTCAGACACCGAATCTGCAGGGGCAACCTGGTTTTTTCACCATCCCAGGTTTCTGTGCCACCTGATCATAATCTCGTCTTCCTGCATGGACACAGAAATAAGTCAGAGTAAAGTTTCACCTGGGTCAGTATCTGTAGCATGAACCAGTCCTTCCACCAACCCTGTAATGTCTCCCAATTGTGGGTTCTTAATAGCACCTTCCCCTCTTTTACCTTTTAGTTCACCTCAAACCTTTTATTTACGTGCACTTAGTGTGTCCAAGCCACCCCTCAGTTGCCTGAATCCAGCACCTACTAAAATTCAGATGTCCAGTAGTTCAAGACCATGGGCCTAGGCCATGTTTTTGCAGAAGGAAATACATATTAGAAATGAGAGGCTCTATCCTCCCATTTGAAAATTAAAAAAGATATTTTTTCTTTTCCCTTTTCTTAAACAATGTAATTTAGAGAACTTTTTTTAGTAATTTTTTGAGATGGAATCTTACTCTTTTGCTTAGTCTGAAGTGCAATGGCATAATCATAGCTCACTATAACCTTAACTTCTTGGGTTTGAGCAGTCCTCCTGCCTCAACCTCTTAATTACCTAGGACTATAGGCATGCACCTCCAGGCCTGGCTAACTTTATTTATTTATTTATTTATTTATTTATTTATTTATTTATTTATTCAAGACAGTGTCTTGCTCTGTGGGTCAGGCTAGAGTGTAGTGGCATGATCTTAGCTCAATGCAACCTCCGCCTCCCAGGTTCAAGCAATTCTCTTGCTTCAACCTTTTGAGTAGCTGGCATTACAGGCGCACAGCACCATGCCTGGCTGATTTTTTATTGTTATTATTTTTAGGAGAGAAAGGGTTTCACCATTTTGGCCAGGCTGGTCTCGAACCCTGACCTCATTATCCACCTGCCTCCGACTCCCAAAGTGCTGGTATTACAAGCGTGAACCACCATGCCCAGCCATATTTATTTTATTTATTTTTTTATGGTGACAGAATTTCACCATGTTGCCTGTACTGGACTCAAACATTTGGCTTCAAGAGATCCTCCTGCCTTGGCCTCCCCAAATGTTGGGATTACAGGCATGAACAGCCGTGCCTGGCCTGGAAAACTTTTATATGTATCTTTTTTTCTCTGCTTCTTTGAAATATAAGCAAATCATTTTAACAGCTAAATAAGCCTTTTGCCACCTTCATGACACAGAATTGTCTTTGTCTAAGACCTGGAAACTATTGTTTTGTTTTTTAATTTGGCAAAGATTTATTGATTTTTTATTTTCAGTCTTTTGAAGTAGACACAGCTCAGTACAGTGGCTCATGTTTTTAATCCCAGTGCTTTGGGAGGCTGAGATGAGAGAATTGCTTGGGCCCAGGAGTTTGAGACCAGCCTGGGCTGCCTAATGAGTCTCCTTCTTTATAAAAAATTAAAATCAACTAGCAGGGCATGGTGGCACAGGAGGCTGAGGTGAGAGAATCATTTGAGCCCAAGAGTTTGAAGCTGCAATGAGCCATGATCACAGCACTCTACCACTGTACTCCAGCTTGGGTAACAGACGGAGACCCTGTCTCTAAATAAATAAGTAAATAAAAAAAAGTGTTTTTCCATACATAAAAATAAGTAAATAAACAGATAAATAAAATAGACATGGATTTGCTGAGAATAAAGCTAATTACAAGATAACAGAAAAGTGAGCACCAAAGATGGGGTTCACCCTAGCAAATGATTCCAGCCTATTAGGACACTCACAGAATTTTCCCTGCAGCATGACCGACATGAAAGTAGAATGTCATCATGTCAGGCTGTACCAGCGTTGGAAGACTAAACACTGTGGGGAAGAACCTCCCTTATGGAATATTATCAACAGGTGAGAGCCCAGCTCCTGCCCTGATGGGCTACAGAAATGAGTTCCTGAGATAACACATTGCAGAAACATGCATAGAGTAGTTTAACCTTTTTTGTGTGTAACCCTCTCACCATTTTCCTGCGAAATCCTCCCTAGTAATAGTGTTAGCTTTTAAGTTTTGAGGGTCCGATAGGACTGAAGCTGCATGCTGCAGGAGATACCTGGGGCCGGAAACTAATACAAACTGCAGCCACAGGCATAAATACTCATGGTCTAATGTAGAGTGAAAACAATACAAAATTCTTTATCGTTATTCGCACAAGTGTGTGAAGAGAGACTTTCCACATAACCAAATTGCCACTGAGACTAGTGAAGGCCAGATTCCACTGGAACAAGGCTATGAGTTACTCATGGGAAGGCCGTAGGACAAAGCCCAGAGATTTTTCATATTTGAGTCTGGGTCCTGGTTCTTTCCCGGTCTTCTCGGGTTTCTGTCTGTAGAGACCCCTATGTGGCTGCTCTCAGCACAGCCCAGTGCTGGCTGTGTTTGCTGGTTTAGTGCACCTGCTCTTTTTCCAAAAAGAGGGAGGAGTTGGCCACATTAAACTGAATGATGAAGCTCCTCATCAATCTGAATGCAGCTTTGTAAATGTGCCTAGAAACCACGCAAAGAAAAGTCTGTGTTCTGCCTTGCTTTGACCGTATGTGACACCTCCATTAGAAATTCTGCTTTTCTCTGCACTCCAGCCTGGGTAACAGAGTGAGACTTCATGATAAATAAAAAAGAAAGAGAGAGAGAAGGAAAGAAAGAAAGAAAGAGAGAGATGGAAAGAAAGAAAGAGAAAGAAAAAAAAGAAAGAAAGAAGAAAGAAAGAAAGAAAAGAAAAGAGAAAAGAAGAAAGGAAAAAAGAAAAAAGAAAATAAAAGAAATTCTGCTCTTCAGATAAGGCACATAAGGAGAATCTGTATAAATCTCCATGAAGGAAGGAAACCAGAGGACAAGTTAAAGTCTTGGAATTCACATCTGAGTACACAGACTCATTCTCCAACCCTCTTCTTTTTATTCTGCCAGCTATGGCCTAGGTATGAACATGACAGGTACACAAGAGTTCCAACACCCGACAATCTACTTCAGTCCAAGAAGAGTGCCCTCCCTCTTGCTCCCCATCCAACTCATGGTACTAAGAAGTGGTGTGGGACTGCCCAGATGAGTTGACAAGAGAGGCTGGCTTGGAGGGGCCTGTCCTGGGCTGCCCTGTGTTATTTGTAGGTGCACCCGGCCAATAGCCAGGGACATCAGTGATGAGGGCTCAGTTGACATCTGTGTTATCAGATAAGACTTTTACATTGAGCCTTTGTAAGGCTGAAACTCAGAAATTTCAGGGCACAATGAAAGAGCATCTCACTCTCTTGAGCAACTCTCACAAACAGAGGTGGATACAGAGCTGTCTCAAGAATGTGGATTCCTGGTTTCTTAACTGCTGTTGGGTTCTGACACCAAGAAAGTGTGTTAAACTCTTCAAGGTTCCATCTACTGGGCCCTATGTTTCTGTAAGACATACCGAAAGGCCCCACTATGCTACTGATTGCTCAGTCTCCTCTTCCATGTCAACTCTTTATTTGTACACAATTATGCAAACACAACTTCCCCTTAATTCCCTGGAAAGACCTAAATGCAACCTGGGTTCCAGGAGAGAAGAGACAGCTGGAACATAACTTTGTTTTTCTTACCATCTCTGGGACCCAGTAAAAGTCACTGTATTCAAGGCTTCCCCAGCCTCCTAACATGCACAGTGGTGATGATGCTAACATCTACTTCCTAGGGAATGTGTTAGGTGTATATAAGATAAGACAGTGGCCGGGCGCGGTGGCTCACGCCTGTAATCCCAGCACTTTGGGAGGCCGAGGCGGGTGGATCATGAGGTCAGGAGATCGAGACCATCCTGGCTAACAAGGTGAAACCCCGTCTCTACTAAAAATACAAAAAATTAGCCGGGTTCGGTGGCGGGCGCCTGTAGTCCCAGCTACTCGGGAGGCTGAGGCAGGAGAATGGCGTGAACCCGGGAAGCGGAGCTTGCCGTGAGCCGAGATTGCGCCACTGCAGTCCGCAGTCCGGCCTGGGCGACAGAGCGAGACTCCGTCTCAAAAAAAAAAAAAAAAAAAAAAAAGATAAGACATAAAAATAATGATGTAGTGTCACCTGTAGATAATGCACACACTTAGAGATGGAAGCATTAGGAGAATAGGTGGGAGGTAGCATGGGCCACAACTCAAACAGGCCTGGTGTCTGCCAGGGTGATCTTGGAAATATCACTTCTCCACTGGGCCTCATTTTCATTCTGCTCCAGTATGAAGTTGAAATTAAATGTAGATACTGTCCTCTGGCATTCATATAGTTTAGCTGTGCGTCCCCACCCAAAACTCATTGTGTATTATAACCCCTAGGTGTTAAGGGAAAACCTGAGGGGAGATGATTGGATTATGGGGACGGGTTCTCCTCATGCTGTTCTTGTGATAGTGAGTTCTCACGAGATCTGATAGTTTCATAAGCATCTGGTACATCCCATGCTCTCACTCACTTCACTTGTCAGCCACTGTAATTGGAAGGTTTCTGAGGTGCCCCCACAATTATGTGGAAATGTGAGTCAATTAAACTTCTTTACTTTATAAGTTACCCAGTCTCAGGTACTCCATCATTGCAGTATGAGAATGATCTAATACAGGAATTCAACTTTCTAGTGCTTTCTCTTTATATTTAGAATCATTTCCATGTGCCTTATCACATCTATGACAGAGGAAGTCTTCACAAAGTCTCCCAGTACTAGGTATTGAGTGACTCAGTTTTTTATTGAATAAAATGGAATACTTCCTGATGCCAGTACTATGGCCCTTCGGTTTTGAGGAAAATATCATCTTGTATGTTGGCTAACAAGGAGATAGGAGTTCAAATCAAATTTGTTTTGTCATACTGGCTTTAAGGCAGTGATTAGAAAAGGCCTAATAGGTGGGTTCTGTAGGGGATTGCTGGAAGGAAAGTAGGAATATGGAAAGTCATGAGACATATACAGTCATCTCTTCTTGTTTCCTCACAGGTCACATACAAATTCAGGGAGAGTTAGTATGAAGCACACAATGGAAATTTGGGCTCCAAAGTCTGCAAACTGATGCTTCATGGACTTCAGTTGGCCATATTGGTTCCAACAATTTCAGCCAATGTTTAAAAAACTTATAGCAGTTAAAATTTTAGTGTTTCAACAAGCCGTTTCCTATCTTTCATTCTGAAGATCCATTTTTTAAGTCTTTTTTTTAACAGTATAGGGGGTACAAATTCAGCTTCTCTCCAATGAAACACAGAAAAGGATATCCCTTTTGTATTAGTTCAGGCTGCTATGCCAAAGAACCATAGATAGGCAGCATATAGACAACAGGACTTAATTTCTCATACCTCCAGAGGTTCAAATTTGAGATCAGGGTGTCAGCATGGTTGAGATCTGGTGATGACTGGCTTCTGAATTTCAGCCTGCACACTTCAGGTTTTACCCTCATTTTGCAGGAGGATGAGAGCCCTCTGCGGTTTCTTGTATAAAGCCAGTAATCTGTATTATGAGGGTCCCACCCTAAGGGGTTAATTACTTTCTACCTCCTTATAGCGTTACGCCCGGGGTTACAATTTTAACACAAATATAGAAGAAAAATTATAGTAACTCTCAAGTTTTTTTTCTTTCTTTCTTTCTTTCTTTTTTTTTTTTTTTTTTTTTTTTTGAGACACAGTTTCACTCTTGTATCCCAGGCTGGAGTGCAGTGGTGTGATCTCGGCTTATTGGAACCTTTGCCTCCCAGGTTCAATTGATTCTCCTGCCTCAGTCTCCCAAGTAGCTGGGATTACAGGCATGCGCCACCACATCTGGCTCATTTTGTATTTTTAGAAGAGACGGTGGTTTCACCATGTTGTCCAGGTTGGTTTCAAACCCTTGACCTCAGGCGATCCACACGTCTCAGCATCCCAAAGTGCTGGGATTACAGGTGTGAGCCACCGCACCCTGTCAAGATGTTTTTAAAGCTCTAATTTTTCTCCTACTGGGTTTTTCTCGTTTGCGCCCTCGATCTTTCTGTCTCTTTTTGTGTAAACCTTTTTGTCTAATTCTGTCTATTGTATTCCTCAAACACAGGAAGCAAGCTCCAATGCTATGAGATGCTCCATGTAGAGACCCACATAACAAAGGGTGAGGGGGTGCTCAGACGAGTAGAGAGAAGGAAAGTCAGGCTCTCCAGCCACACTAAACCCTGTCAATTTTCACATGAGTCAGCTTAAAGGCTCATGCTTTCCCAGTCCAGCTTCAGTTAAGACCACAGCCCCCAGTCTCATAAAAGACCTGAAGGCAGAGGTAGCCAGCTGAACTGTGTCCAGATTCTGGTCCACACAAATTATGAGATATTATATGTTGTTGAAAAGTGCTGACTTTTAGGGCAATGTTGTCAGAAAGGAGCAGATATCTAACCTCATCTCCCAGGCCCTAGGATTCTCCATCCCTCTGCTTATCTCTTTCTCAGGCTGTCTGCAGCCAAACTAGTCCCTTTTTACCTCTGCCAAACTCACACCTATGAGTTTTTTCACTAAGGGTGGCTTCTCCCTGACACATGCTTGTGCAGATGCCTCCCTGCTGTCATCCTCATCATGGATTAAAAGTCACCTCAGTGACGCCTGAGTTCCTCCCATGCAATAATTTTCCAGGTTTTCTTCTCAATAATCTACTTTATATTATAGTCCTTGCTCTTTTCTTTCACATATACTTGCTTTAGTGCTTTTGTCCAGCGGTCCTCAGACTGTTTGGTCCTGGGTTGGGGGGTGCAGACATGATGTAATAATTTTCTGTACCACATGTTGGACCCACCAGGGTCACTGGCAAATGGTGAGCGCAAGGGAAAAAAGACTGGCTAAGTGATTATATGGAGGATCTCTAATATCCCTTCCCCTTTTGACCACCTGATAATGTGGACATCACTGATAACAACATGAGTTGTGTGACTGTTACTTGTTCCAGCTGCTCCAGCAAAGCTCAGTGGGCACCAGAAACACAGTAGGCTGTAACCACCTCCTGGCCATCACTAACCCTACAGCCCCAAGCAGGAGCACTACCGAACAAATCTGATACCTTGATTTTTCTGTCCTCAAGACACTGGTTCTTCAAGGTCCTAGGGGATAAAGTAGCAGGATCTGAAGGCCCCAAGTATAATGAGTGACCTAGGAATCCCGTTTTGCCCTCTCTTTGCCTCCACCTTTTTGGTTGTGCTATTTACTCATGAGGTATCCTCCCCTTATCCAGTGAAATTATTTTCTACCACTTTCAAATGAGGACCTTAAGAACGCAACAGTAGCTGAGATTTTCCGTGGACCTCAGCCTCAGAGTCCAGTGCTCTGGCACATTTAACTCTGTCTCATCTTCATCTACCCAAGATGCCTCTCAAGTGGCCATGCCTCCCTCTGATTTGAAGGATCTGCAGAGTGGGTGCATTTTTGCAGTCTCAGAGCAAGAATCCAGGCTGGCAGACACTTATGAGTATGTGAAATCATCAAGGTCACCCACTTCAGGCACCCCTATTTATGAGGAAGAAAACAGGCTTTCCTGTAGGCACTGTCTACATTAGGCTGAGGTGGAGCATAGCTCATTTTACTTCCAGTTGCCCTCAGAGCTGGATGCAGAACCCCAGTCCTGTTATCTTGAAACTGACATGGAGAGGACCCCATGTGAACAGAACCCTGAATCTGCTCATTTTCTGTGCTCCTGAATGTGTAGCTACAGACTCTAATTTCGAAAACAAACCTGATAAGTGGGACGGTGCCAAGGCCTAGGAAGCTGGAGCCCTCTCTAATGCTCTGGAGCCTGCCCACCTCCTGAGATCTGGACCAGTCTCTGCCTCTTCTGGGGCCTCAGTTTCCCAATTGTAATGTAATGAGAAATTAAATGTAAAACTGCATAAACATATGCTCTGTGAGAATTTGGTGTCAGAGTTCTCAATACTGGATGATAATTTGGAGTGGGGTGGGTTTGGGACCCATGGGTTCTCAGGCCTCCTTTCACACCCAGTGCAGTAGGTGTAGAGCTCTGGACAGCCAGGTGTTCTTTCCTGAGCCAGCTGATTACAACACAATGGACCAAGGGCTCTGATCTTAAATATGGTTTCACAGGATACCCCACCTTCAGCCACCACCTGCTCTGTGCTTCCCATATTTTGGGGAGCTGATGACAAACCCCATTATAGTGAAGAAGAGCAAGAAACTAGACTTGTGGGCCTGGGGAAAAGAAAAAAAACACTTCTATTTCTCCCAAACTGTAGAATCTCTTGTCAAATATTTAATTTTGATTATATCTGAGCTTGATAATACATTCATGTGTTAACAGCTGCTTAAATTTATTTTTTCTGTGAAGTGTGGGATAATGTCTTTGCCGTATTTTAAATCAAATTCTAAAAGCTCTCTTTAGAGTGGATAAGTGAGCATCTTTGTAATATAAACTTCACATATTTGTTGCCAGTTTGTTCTTTTTGTTTTTGTTAAAATGTTTTGTTTTATTCTGATTTGGATGTCTTTTGGGGTTTTGCTTTGTGGCTATTTATTATGACAGTGTAACTTCTCCTCTAATTGACTGACAGGTTTGTACATTCTCAATAAAATATTTTCATAAAATCTTTGTAAAAATTGTGTAGTCAATTTTACATTACATAAACATAAAACAGTAAAGACTATCATGATGAAAAAGAAAGATTGAGGGCTTAAAAAGTAAAATACGACACAACTAAAGTAGTCTGAAAGGGAAATTTACAGCACTAAATCCCCACAAGAGAAAGCAGAAAAATGTCTAAAATCGACACCGTAACATCACAATTAAAAAAACTAGGGAAGCAAGAGCAAACAAATTCAAAAACTAGCAGAAGACAAGATTTAAGATCAGAGCAGAACTGAAGGAGATAGAGACACAAAAAGCCCGTCCAAAATATCAATGAATCCAGGAGCTGGTTTTTTTAAAAGATCAAGAAAATAAATAAACTTCTAGCCAGACTAATAAGGAAGAAGAGAAGAATCAAATACATGCAATAGGAAATGATAAAGGGGATATAACCATTGATCCCACAGAAATAAAAAGTATCATTACAGAATATTATAAATACCTCTTTGCAAATTAACTAGAAAATCTAGATGAAATGGATAAATTCCTGGACACATATACCCTCCCAAGTGCAAACCAGTAGGAAGTCGAATCCTTGAATAGGCCAATAACAAGTTCTAAAATTGAGGCAGTAATTAGTAGCCTACCAACAAAAAGAAGTCCAGGACCAGACGGATTCACAGCCGAATTCTACCAAAGGTACAAAGAGGAGCTGGTACCATTCCTTCTGAAATTATTTCAAACAATAGAAAAAGAGGTACTCCTCCCTAATTCATTTTATGTGGCCAGCATCATCCTGAAACCAAAACCTGGCAAAGACACACCAGAAAAAGAAAATTTCAGGCCCATATCCCTGATGAATATCGATGCGAAAATCCTCAATAAAATACTGGCAAACCGAATCCAGCAGCACATCAAAAAGCTTATCCACCACGATCTAGTCAGCTTAATCCCTGGGATACAAAGCTGGTTCAACATATGCAAATCAATAAATAAAATCTATCACATAAACAGAACTAATGACAAAAACCACATGATTATCTCAATAGATGCAAAAAAGGCCTTCAATAAAATTCCACACCTCTTCATGGTAAAAACTCTCAATGAATTATGTATTGATGGAACCTATCTCAACATAATAAGAGTTATTTATGACAAATGCACAGCTAATATCATACTGAATGGGCAAAAACTGGAAGCATTCCCTTTGAAAACCTGCACAAGACAAGAACACCCTTTCTCCCCACTCCTATTCATTATAGTATTGGAAGTTCTGGCAATCAGCCAAAGAAAGAAAGAAATAAAGCGTATTCAGATAGGAAGAGAAGAAGTCAAATTGTCTTTGTTTGCAGATGACATGATTGTATATCTAGAAAACCCTACCATCTCAGCCCAAAATTTCCTTAAACTGATAAGCAACTTCAGCAAAGTCTCAGGATACAAAATCAATGTTCAAAAATCACAAGCATTCCTATACGCAATAATAGGCAAACAGAGAGCCAAATCATGTGTTAACTCTCATTCACAATTGCTACAAAGGGAATAAAATACCTAGGAATCCAACTTAAAAATGATGTAAAGGACCACTTCAAGGAGAACTACAAACCACTGCTCAAGGAAATGAAAGAGGACACAAACAAACGAAAACAATCCATGCTCATGGATAGGAAGAATCAATATTATGAAAATGGCCATATTGCCCAAAGTAATTTATAAATTCATTGCTATCCCCATCAAGCTCCCATTGACTTTCTTCACAGAATTAGAAAAAAAACTACTTCAAATTTCATATGGAATCAAAAAAGGTCTTGCATAGACAAGACAATACTAAGCAAAAAGAACAAAGGTGGAGGCATCATGCTAGCTGTCTTCAAACTATACTAAAAGGCCACAGTAACCAAGACAGGATGGTACTCGTACCAAAACAGATATATTGACAAATGGAACAGAACAGAGGCCTCAGAAATAACACTCAACATCTAGAATCATCTGATCTTTGATGAACCTGACAAAAACAAGTAATGGGGAAAGGATTCCCTATTTAATAAATGGTGTTGGAAAACTAGCTAGCCATATGCAAAAAACTGAAACTGGACTTCTTCCTTTCTCGTTATACAAAACATAACTGAAGATGGATTAAAGACTTAAACATAAGACTTAAAACCATAAAAACCCCAGAAGAAAACCAAGGCAGTACCATTCAGGACATAGGCATGGGCAAAGACTTCATGACTACAACACCAAAAACAATGGCAACAAAAGCCAAAATTGACAAACGAGATATAATTAAACTAAAGAGCTTCTGCACAACAAAAAAAACTATATCAGAGTGAACAGGCAACCTAAAGAATGGGAGAAAATTTCTGCAATCTATCCATCTGACAATGGGCTGATATGTAGAATCTACAAAGAACTTAAACAAATTTACAAGAAAAAAAGAAACAACAACATCGAAAATGGGCAAAGGATTTGAACAGACACTTCTCAAAAGGAGACATTTATGCAGCCAATAAACAAATGAAGAAAAGGACATCATCACTGGTTATTAGACACATGCAAATCAAAAACACAATGAGAAACCATCCCACACCTGTTAGAATGGTGATCATTAAAAAAATCAGGAAACAACAAAGGATGTGGAAAAATAGGAAGACTTATACACTGTTGGTGAGAGTGTAAATTAGTTCAACCAGTGTGGAAGACAGTGTGGTGATTCCTCAAGGATCCACAATGAGAAATACCATTTGACCCAGCAATCACATTACTGGGTATATACCCAAAGGATTATAAATTATTCTATTATAAAGATACATGCATACGTATGTTTATTATGGCACTGTTCACAAGAGCAAAAACTTTGAAACAAACCAAATGACCATCAATGATAGACTGAATAAAGAAAACTTGGCATGTCCACATCATGGAATACGATGCAGTCATAAAAAGGATGAGTTCATGTCCTTTGCAGGGACATGGATGAAGCTGGAAACCACCATTCTCAGCAAACTAACACAAGAGTAGAAAAGCTAACATCGCATGTTCTCACTCATAATAGGGAGTTAAACAAAGAGAACACACGGACACAGGAAGGGGAACATCACACACTGGAGCCTGTCGGGAAGTGGGGGACTATGGGAGGGATAGCATTAGAAGAAATATTCCTGGCCTAGGCCACTATTGCGATTTTCTAAATTTTGTTTCAAAAACATGATATGTTTCAAAAATTGTTATTGGTATGTAATTATATAAATATATAGTTCAGAAAAAAGAATCAACATTAATTATGCTTTTTCCAAAATACTTTATGGTTTTGAGCTCTTCTAGCAGTGACATTTTTGCTGTAGGTAATTGCTGTGTATCTGGTATATTCATCATAGCATACTTTGTGCCGTTTACACTTATCCTTCAATTTCCCACTCTCCTAAGTGTAAAAGTTCAAGGCCAGAGCTCCCATATCTTCCCAATATTACTTTTTGAAAAGAAGCTTCTATGTACTGTTTTCTCTGGGTCTTGATTGGATATATTGCTAAAAGAGCTGAAAAATAATAATTTTTTTAAAAATTCGGTGATGAGATTAAAGTAAATATATTTTATAAATCTAATGTACAAAATGAGGTCAGCTGAGAAGACAATGACAGTTGAAGCAGAACCTGAGATCCTGTTTCTCTCCATTGACATATGAACTTAACTACAATTGGGTGAACAAAGCCAGTTGAGTTTGTAGCACCCCACATGAGAAAAAAGCCAACCATAACCACATTTTGAAGAAAATTTGGTCACATTTGTGCACTACAGAACAGCGCAGTTAGATAAAAATCTGTCCATTCCATGATTCTCCTTTGGGAAAGAAAAAAGAGTGAAATGCGTATGCAAACTTCTGACTTACTGAGTTATACCGGGGTTATCTAAAGACTGGAAATTGCTTCCTTTAACATTTAGTGTTGATGAGAATAGAGACTGAGTTTAAATGACAGCTTGGGTCAACTGAGAATAAAGATAAATGCTTCTTACAACAACAGAGACTGTAGTGCCTACAACAGTGACGAAGGGAAGAGACTAAAGGCTCCTAAGAGGAAACAGAGGTAAACCTTATTAACAAGAAAATACATACAGTAGTCCAAAGAAGACACATTTTGACAACAGATTGGAGAAGCTCCCAGTATGACTACTGTGGCTGAATGTTGTCAATTTTCCCATGTATAAAGCTCTTTCATAAAGGATAAAATAGGTAGTGGTTTCTTAATTGATCAAAACCTTAACAAAACTACAGTAAGTAAAAGCAACCAGGAAATATAACTTAATCAAAGGAGAAAAATATATATTCAAGTGAACCTAAAGAAGTGGAGATCTAGGAATTATTTTTTTAACTTAAAATCTTTTTATTTTTCTTTACTTTTTCATTTTATGCAGAGGATCTTACTTTATCTCCTGGGACAGAGTACACTGGTGGAATCACAGCTCACTGTAACCTCAAATTTCGGAAGTCAAGCAGTCATGCCACCTATGTCTCCTGAGTAAATATGACCACAGTTGTGCACATTACCCCTCCTGTATAGTTTCTTTAAAAAAATTTGTACAAACAGTATGTTGCTGTGTTGCCTCGGCTGGTCTCAAACTCCTGGTCTCAGGCAATCCGACTGCTTCAGTCTGAAAGTGCTGGCACAAGCTACCATACCTGGAATTGTTTCTCTTTTAAGAAAAAATAGCTTTAAATCATTAATAGTAAAATAAAACAAAGAAAGGTATTGCGTAACGATAAAGGGTTCAATTCAACAAGAAGACTTAACTATCGTAAATGTAGATGCACCCAACTTTGGGGAACATAGAGTTATACAACAATTACTGCTAGACCGACAATAAGACTCAAGTAGACACACAATAATAGTAGGGGAATGTAACTCCCCACTAAGTGTTTGACAGATTATCTAGGCAGAAACTTAACAAAGAAATTCTGGAGTTTAATTCGACACTTGATCAAATGAAACTAATAGACATTTATAGTATATGCAACACATCATCTAAAGAAAGTAAATTCTTCTCATCTGCTCACAGAATATGACAGGCCACAATGGAACAAAGATAAAAATCAATACCAAGAAAATCTCACAAAATCACAGAATGATATTGAAATTAAACAACTTGCTCCTGAATGAATTTTGGATAAACAAAAAAATTAAGGCAGAAAATTAAAAAGATTTTGAAATAGAAGAGACACAATATAACAAAATGTCTGGGTTGTAGGAAGAGCTCTGTTAAGAGGAAAGTTGAGAGTGCTAAATACCTGCATCAAGAAGTTAGAATGATCTCAAACTAACAATTTAACATCACACTTAGAGAAACTAGAAAAATAAAAACTAACTTACCCCAAAGCTAGCAGAATGGCAAAAATATTCATAACCTATGAACCTGACAAAATCTAATACTCAGAATCTATAAGAAACTTAAAGAATTCACAAGGAAAAAATTACCCCATGAAAAAGTGGGCAATAACAGACACTCTTCAAAAGAACACATACAAGTGGCCAAATAACATGAAAAAAGCTTATCATCACTAACCATCAAGGAAATGTAAATAAAAACCACAATAAGACACCATTGTACACCAGTTAGAATGGTTTTTGTTAAAAAGTAAAATGATAATAGATGTTGATGGGGTTTTAGAGGGAAAAAACCACTTATACACTGTTAATAGGAATGTAAATTAGTTCAGCCACTGTGGAGAGCAGCTTGGAGATTTTCCAAATAACTGAGAGTTAAACTGTGATTCAACCCAGCAATTTCACCGCTGGGTATATACCCAAAAGAGAATAAACTATTCTACCAAAATAGCACATGCACTTGTTGGTTCATCACTACACTATTCATAAGAGGAAGGACCTGAATCAACCTACGTGCCTATTCATGGTAATTTTTTATTTTTTTGAGATGACGTCTCACTCTGTTGCCCAGGCTGGAGTGCAGTGGCACGATCTCAACTCACTACAATCTCCACTTCCCAGGTTCAAGCAATCCTCCTTCCTCAGCCACCCGAGTAGCTGGGACTATAGGCGCATGCCACCAAGCCTGGCTAACTTTTGTATTTCCAGTACAGACGGGGTTTCATTACGTTGTCCAGGATGGTCTCGATCTCCTGACCTCATGATCCACCCGCCTTGGCCTCCCACAGCACTGGGATTACAGGCATCAGCCACCATGTCCAGCCTATTGATGGTAAATTGAATTTAAAAAGTGTCACATGTACAGCAATACTACTTAGCAAAAACAAACAAAAAAAACCTCCTTTGCAGCAACGTTAACACAACAAAAGGCCATTATACAAAGCAAATTAATGCAGAAATGGAAAATGAAAATACTGCATATTCTCACTTATAAATGGAAATTAACACTGGGTACACATGGACAGAAAAACAAAAATAATAGACAACTCTTAGAGGGTGGAGAGAGGGAGGGACCAAGAACTGAAAAACTGTCTACTTAGTACTATGCTCACTACCTGATTGATGGAATTACTCATACTTCAAACCTCAGCATTATGCAAAATACCCATGTAAAAAACCTGTGTAGGTACCTCCTAAATCTAAAATAAATTTGAAATTCTAAAAAGAGGTCTTACTCTCTCACCCAGACAGGAATACAATACCATGATTATAGCTCAATGCAGCCTCAAGTTCCTGGGGAACTCAAGGAATAATCTTACGTCAGCCTCCAACTTCCTGAGACTACAGGAACATTCCACAATGCCTGAGTAATCTGTGAAAATATTTTTTACCAATAGCTTGTCACAATATTGCCCGGGGTAGTGTCAAACTCCTGGATTTAAGTAATTGACAGGGTTTGGCTCTGTGTCCCCAATCAAATCTCATCTTAAATTGTAATAATCCCCACATGTCCTGGGAGGGACCCTGTGGGAGGTAATTGAATCATGGGGGTGGGATCTTCCCATGCTGTTCTCATGATAACAAATAAGTCTCATGTGATCTGATGGTTTTATAAGTGGAGGTTCCCCTGAACGGTCTCTTGCTTGTTCCAATAATGGTGAGACCTCCCTAACCATGTGAAACTGAGAGGCCATTAAAACTTTTTTCATGATAAATTACATAGTCTTGTTTATGTCCTTATTATCAGCATGATAATGGATTAATACAGTAGCCCTCTTGCCTTAGCTTTCAAAGTAGCTGGAGTCACATGCACGTGTCACTGTGCCTGGCTAAAACACCTAGCTTAAAGATGCTCAGTCAGCTAAAGAAGAATATAGAAAACTAAACAGAAAAAGAAAACAATGCATGAAGATAATGAGATTATCAAAGAAGTGATTAAAAGTGCAAAATAGAAACAAAGTGTAGAGCTGAAAAGTAAAATACCTGAGTTTAGAGATTCACTAGAAAGTCCAACAACAGGTTTGATCTAGCAGGAAAAAATACAGCAAGCCTCATAAGAAGTCATTTGAAATTATAGGGTGAGGAGGCTAAAAATAATTTAAAAAATTAAGAGAGCCTAAGGGAATTATAGGATACCATTAAGATGGCCAATATACTCATAATGGGAATTCTAAAATAAAAAGAGAAAAGAGAGCAGCAAAATTATTTCAAGAAACAAACAGTGACAGAGAACTCAGAATTTGAGGGAGAAAATGACCTAAAATTTAATGAAACTTTACCAACTCTAACTAGTAACAACACAGGGAGACCCATGACAAGACACATTATAATCAGAGATTCAAAAGTTAAAACACCGAGAATCTTGAAGTCAGCAAGAAAAAAGTGACTTAGCATGTACAAGTTTACCCCTGCAGGATGACCAGCAGATGTCTCAGCAAAAAAACTTACAGGTAAGAGGTTGTAGGATGACATACTCAAAGTGCTGAAAAAATGGCAACTACCAGCCAAGAACACTATGTCTGCCAAAACTATCATTTCAAATGAATTAAAAAATAAAAATAAAGAATATTCAAGATCAACAAAAACTGTATAAATTTATACCCACTAGGCCTGTCTTAAAAAATGCTAAATAGTCATTCACATTAAAAAATGAAATAATGATGAGAGCAACACAAAATTATGTAAAATATGACATTTTCTAATAGAGAAAATTATGTACACAATCATAATATTCTTTGTAATTATAATGAAGATGCACAGAATACTTTAATTCTGCTATATATTTGAGACAACAAAGACTTAAAAATGACTATAAATCTGTGCCAACAGATTCACAACACAAAATGATATAATTTGTGACATCAATAAAACACATAGGGAGCCATAAAGAGGCAGGGTTTTATATGTAATAGTAGTTATTCTTGGTAATATCTATAGTAACAACAAAGAAAATACCTACAGTTCTTAGGATTTTGAGACTAGTCTGGGTAACATGGAAAAACCCTGTCTCTATGCAAAATAACAACTGTTAGCCAGGAGTAGTGGTGCACATCTGTGGTCCCAGGTACTCAGAAGGCTGTGGTGGGAGGATTGTTTGAGTTGAGCCTGAGAGGCAGAGCTTGAGTAAGCAGAGATTGTGCCACTGCACTCCAGCCTGGGTGACAGAGCAAGACCCTGTCAAAAAAAAAAAGGAAATACCTATAGTACACACACAGAAAGACATACACACACAGAGAGTAGTGAGAAAAGAATTAAAACATGTCACTACAAAAATCAATAGTACACTAAGAAAGAGAACAAGAGAGAAAAACAGGAACGAAATAGCTACAGGACCGGCCAGGGGCGGTGGCTCACGCTTGTAATCCTAGCAATTTGGGAGGCCGAGGTGGGTGGATCAACGAGGTCAGGAGATCGAGCCCATCCTGGCTAACACGGTGAAACCACGTCTCTACCAAAAAAAAAAAAAAAAAAAAAAAAAATAGCCGGGCGTGGTGGCAGGCTCCGGCAATCCCAGCTGCTGGGGAATCTGAGACAGGAGAATGGCATGAACCCGGGAGGCGGAGCTTACTTTGAGCCAAGATCTCACCACTGCACTCCAACCTGGGCGACAGAGAGAGACTCCGTCTCAAAAAAAAAAAAAAAAATGCTGCAGGACCTAAAACAAAAAAGAAACAAAATGCAATACGAAATCATTCCCTTTTAGTAATTTTTTTTATATAAATCAATTATGTCAATCAAAAACATACTTTCACTAAATAAATTCATGAAACAAGATTCAACTCTCTGCTTCCTACAAATAACCAAATTATGATCTGGAACACATATAACCTGTACATGAAAGAATAATAAAAAATATTAAATGCAAAATCAAATACTGTCATGGTAGACAAAATACATATTATATCAAAAACTTCCTCAAGAGACAAGAGGAAAAGGACAATAAAAACAACAACAATAAAAGCAACAACAATAAAGCAACATACAACAATAAAAGCAAAAACATTAAAACAACATACAACAATAAAAGCAACAACAGTAACGCATGTGCCTTACATCACAGTTCCCAAACATATGAAGCAACATTTTACAGAATTGAAACATGAAGTAGCCAGCACCTGATAACAGTAAATGACTTTTATATCTGACTTTTAGTAATGTAAATTAAAAAACAAACATAAGATGGATAAGTAAACAGAGGATTTCAACAACACGATAGGACAATTAGACCTAACAGTCACATTTATATTTCTCCACTCAACAGTAGAATCTGCAATACTTTTAATCACACATGCCACAATATTCCAGATAGACCACCTGTTAAGTTAAAAGATGAATCTTAGCAAATTTAAGCAGATGGAATTACAAAATTATTGCTAACTATGATACAATAAAACAAGAAGTTAAAAACACTAGCATGTCAAAGAATAAGTAAAAATTAAACAACAAATTCTCAAACACACTCTTGTTCAAGAGGTTATAGACTTAATATTGTTAACATGTCACTACTACCGAAAGTGGTTAACTGATTCAATGCTCTTTCTTTTCTTTTCTTTCTTTTTATCTTGAGATGGGTTTTTGCTCTTGTTGCCCAGGGTGGAGTGCAATGGTGTGATCTCAGTTCACTGCAACCTCCACCTCCTGGGTTCAAGCCATTCTCCTGCCTCAGCCTCCTGAGTAGCTGGGATTACAGGCAAGTGCCACCAAACCTGGCTAATTTTGTATTTTTAGTAGAGATGGGGTTTCTCCATGGCTGGTCTCGAACTCCTGACCTCAGGTGATCCACCTTCCTCAGCCTCCCAAAGTGCTGGGATTACAGGCATGAGCCACCACCCCTAGTTGATTCAATATACTTTCTATCAAAATACCAATGAAACTTTTTGCAGAAGTTTTAAAATATTCTATAATTTTTATGGAATTTCAAGTGATTGCAAACAGCCAAATAATATTGGGAAAAAAATATAAAGATAGAGGCATCATACTTTCTAATTTCAAAACATACTATAAAGGTATAGTAATCAAAACTGTTTGGTACTGACAGAAAGACAAATGAATGATGAAACAGATGAGTGTTCGGACATAAGACATCATGGGTTTAGTAAACTTATTTTTAAAAACTGTTCCAAGAATTCACAATAAGGAAAGAACAGTCTCTTCAACAAACAGTATTGAGAATAATAAAAATTTACAAGGAAAAAATAACAAAGTTACACCTTACCTTGCACCAATAAAAACATAAACTCAAGGCCGGGTGTGGTGGCTCACACCTGTAATCCCAGCACTTTGGGAGGCTGAGGCAAGTGAATCACAAGGTCAGGAGATCAAGACCATCCTAGCCAACATGGGGAAACCACGTCTCTACTAAAAATACAAACAAAAATTAGTTGGCGGTGGTGGCACACGCCTATAGTTCCAGCCACTCAGGAGGCTGAGGCAGGAGAATCTCTGGAACCCGGGAGGCAAGAGTTTCAGTGAGCGGAGATCACACCACTGTGCTTCAGCCTGGTGACAGAGAAAGACTCCACCTCATATAAAGAAATAAACTCAAAATAACTAATTTTTGTTAGTTATTAAAATGGAATTTTAAACTTTATTTTTCAGATATTTTGCTATCAGCATACAGAAAGCTGCTACTCTGTTGATTTTCTGCAATGTTACAGAATTTGTTTAGTAGTTCTATTAGGTTTTGGTGTAGTGTTTAGAGTTTTTCACATATAAGATTATTTTGTCCACAATCAGAGACCATTTGACTTCATCCTTTCCTATTAGTATGAGTTTATTTCTACCTCTTGCATAATGTCCTTGGCTAAGACTTCCAGTACTATGTTGAATAAGAGGTCTGAAAGTGGGGATGATTAGTCTTGTTCCGGATCTCAGAGAGAAAGCTTTCAGCTTTTCCTTATTCAGTATAATGTTAGCATTGCTTTGTCATAAATGGCCTTTATTGTGTTGAGAAACATAACTTCTATTCCTAATTTGTTGAGAGTTTTCATCATAATGAATGTTGAATTTCATCCAACGTTTCTTCTGCATAAGCAAAAGGTACAAAAATTAAAATACTTAATGTGATGGTTAATACTGGCTGTCAAATTGATTGGATTGGAGGATAGAAAGCATTGATCCTGGGTGTGCCTGTGAGGGTGTTGACAAACGAGATTAACATTTGAGTCAATGGGCTGGGAAAGGGAGGCCCACTCTTAATTGGGTGAGCGCCATCTAATAAGCTGCCAATGAATATAAAGCAGGCAGGAAAACGTAAAAAGGAGAGACTGGCCTAAGCTCCCAGTCTACATCTTTCTCCTGTGCTGGACGTTTCCAGCCCTCAAACACCAGACTCCAAGTTCTTCAGCTTTGGGACGTGGACTGCCTCTCCTTGCTCCTAAAACTTGCAGACAACCTATTGTGAGATCTTGTGATCTCTCTAGGGAGCCCGACTAATACACCTAGCAACAAACTTAACTTAAAAGGTACAAGATCTCTACTCTGAAAATGACAAAACATGGATAAAAAATATAAAATACAAATGAATAAATGAAAAAATCTTGTGTTTATACACTGGAAGAATACTGTTAATTACCCAAAGTGATCTAGAGACTAACGTGATTTTTATCAAAATATCAATGACATTTTTTCACAGAAATAGAAAAAATATTTTAAATTTATGTGGATCCACAAAAAACTCTGAATAGACAAATAACTTTGAGCAAAATAAGCAAAGCTAAAGGCATCACTTTATCAAACTTCAAAACTTGCTACAAAGCTATAGTAACCAAAACAGCACTGTACTGGCATAAAAACAAACACATAGACTAATGTGCCCAAGAAGCCCAGAAGTTAGTTTATGCACCTAAAGCCAACTGATTGTCAACAAAATTGCCAAGAACACACTTTAGGGAAAAGCTAATTTCTTCAATAAATGATGCAGGGCCATTTAAATATTTAAATTCAGAAAAATTATACTAGACCCCTGTGCCTTGCCATATATGAAAATCAATTCAAACTAAAGACTTAAATGTAATGCTATCAATTATGAAACTATTAGAGAAAAACTAAAAAATGCTTTATAACATTCGACGGGGAAAGGATTATTAAAATAACATGTCAAAACATAGGCAACAAAATCAAAAATAAGCAAACAACATTATGTCAAACTAAAATGCTTTTCCATATTAAAAAAACTAAAAGATTGAAGAGACAGCTTAGGCAATAAAAGAAAATGCTTTCAGGCTATACATATGACAAAAGGCTAATATTCAGAATAAATAAGAAACTTTAAAATCTCAAAATAAAATACACTTATAATCTAATTAAAAAATGCAAAACATCTTAATAGATGTTTGTCAAAAAGTGATACAAAAATGGCTAACTGGAACATAAAAATATGTTCTACATTACTAATCACTAAGGAAATGAAAATCCAAACCACAATGAGGTACCGCCTCACTCCCATTTAGAATGGCTATAATAAAAATAAATAAATAAATAAAACAAGTACTAATGAGGATATAAAATGAGTGAATGTATACATTGTTGGTGGAATTGTAAATTAGTATGGCCACTATAGAAAATACTATGGAGGTTTCTGAAAGAAATTAAAAATAGATGTATTACATGATCCAGCAATTTTACTCCTGCATGTATATACAAAAGAAAGGATATCACTGTGTCAAAAAGATATTTGCATTTCCATGTTAGTTACAGAACTAGTTATAATAGCTTATATATGGAATCAATTCAAATGTACAGCAACAGATAAATGGATAAGGAAAATGTACTATATATGCACAGTGAAATACTATTCAGCTATAAGAAAGGATAAAATTCTGTCAGTTAAAAGAGCATGGATGAACCTTGAGCATACCATGTTAAGTAAAATAAGCCACATAGAGAAACACAAATACTTTATGATCTTATTATCTCACTCATTTGAGGAACCTGAAAAAAAGGGTTGATATAAGCAAAGAGTACAACAGGGGTTCCCAGAGACTGAAGCAGGGAGATGGGAAAAGGCAGCTTCAAAAGTATTGTGTTACAATTAGATAGGAGAAATAAGTTTTTGTTTTTTGTTACACGGCAGAATAATAATAATTAATGAAAAGTTATCTCAAATTACAAAATAGCTAAAAGAGACCAGTTGTGGTGGCACATTCCTGCCATCCATACATTTTGGGAGAATGAGGTAGGAGAATCACTTGACGTCAGAAGTTCAAGATGAGCCTGGACAACATAGTGTGACCCTGTCTCTATGAAAAATTAAAACATTATCCAGGCATGGAGGCAGGTTCCTGTAGTCTCAGCTAATTGGGAAGCTGAGGTTAGAAGATTGTTTGAGGTTACAGTGAGCTAGGATTGCACCACTGCACTCCAATCTGTGTGTTAGAGCAAGATCCTGTCTCTAAAAAAAGTTAATATATAAAGATATAAAAAAATAGCTAGAGAAGAAGCTTTTGAATGTTCTCACCACAAAAATAACAAATGTATGAGGCAATAATTACACTAAGTACTCTGATTTTTATTGCTATACAACATATATACATAATTGTTTCCCCAAAATTTGTACAATTACATGTGTCAATTTTAAAATATGAAGACTATAATGTAAAATCTATAGCTGTAAAATTCCTAGCACAATACAGAAGGGTGAAGCTTCATGACAATTGGTCTCGGCAATAATTTGGGGGATGTAACATCAACGAATCAGACAACAAAAGCAAGGGAATACACATGGTACTAAATCAGTGTGTGAAAAATATCCCAAACAGGCAAAGCAGAACATGGAATAGATATATGCACATTTATGTACACTGTAGCATTACTCACAAACATACTACCTGGAAGCAAATGTACCTTTAAGGATGAGTAGATTCAACAAACAGGGCACGTATATTCACTGGGATAGCATTCAGCCTTAAAAATAAGGAAATCTTGAAAAGTACTACAATAAGGACAAATCTCGAAAACATTCTGTTAAGTAAAACAAGACAGTCAAAAAGGAAAACTGTATAATTACACCTATGTAAAATATTTAGTCAAACTCAAAGAAACCAAGTGTTGTAGTCTCAGCAGTGCACCAAGATGTAACAGTCTCTCATAGTCTGAGATAGCATCGAAAGTTCTTTGTTCTACTTCTAGGGAGATTAAGGAGCGTGAACACAAAGGTGAGGTTAGAGTGAAAGTTTGATAAGCAAGAGAAGAAAGCTCTTTGCCAGCAGAGATAGTTTCTGAATGGGGTGACCTCTGTGAGGCTGGGGCCCAAGGTTTTTATGGACTGGGAAAGGAAGAGAAGGAAATGTGCTTAGTTCACAGGCTGTCTTGAAAAAAGTGTGGCTCAGCTTGGCCCAGGACTTTGGCCCGGGACCAATCAGGAGCTGAAGGGATGATTCATACATGCTATTTAGATTGGCCCAGGACTTATCAGAAGCCAAAGTGAAAGCTTGGCGCAGGAGCTTGTCCCGGGAGCAATCAGGGGCTGAAGTAATTATTCACAGAGGTCAGACTTACAGTCCAAATAAAGGAGAGTGTCGACCGGAATGCACCAGAGCCCACTGTGCTTATGCCCACAGAAGGAGAAGAAACATTTTCCTGGGAGCGCACTGACTGCACAAAGTACAAAGGCGTTTCTTTTTTTCTTTTTCTTTTCTTTCTTTCTTTCATTTTTTTTTTGAGATGTACTTTCTTATTATTTATTTATTTATTTATTTATTTATTTATTTATTTATTTATTTTGAGACGTAGTTTTGCTCTTGTTGCCCAGGCTGGAGTGCAGTGGTGCGATCTCGGCCCACAGCAAACTCCGCCACCTGGATGTAAGTGATTCTCCTGCCTCAGCCTCCCAAGTAGCTGGGATTACAGGCATGAGGCGCCATGCCCGGCTAATTTTGTATTTTTAGTAGAGACAGGGTTTCTCCATGTTGGTCATGCTGGTCTCGAACTCCCGACCTCAGGTGATCCGTCCACTTCCGCCCAAATTGCTGGAATTACGGGCATGAGCCACCATGCCTGGCCAAACAAAGGCAATTCTATGCCAGGTCGGTCTTGTTCCCTTATCTCAGTGAGCTGGAGGTTTGTACCAGTTTTTATCCAAATGGGCCAGAGGTTTTTCTGTCTGGGCAGCCATGGGCAGGTCTCCAAGCACAACACCATGTGCTAGTTACCTTGTTAGTGTCTGCAGCTTGATTTTTTCCAGGATTCCTTTTATGTTATGCAGGGATGAGATACTGACCCAAGGGCCAGGGACTTTCCAGGGACCCTTCTCTTGCTATCTAACTAAAGCAAGCTAACTAACTTGTTTCAGAATTAATGAGTATTCACTTTTAATTTTGTAAGACAAAAATTATCTAAAACCTATTGCAAAAAAAATAGAACTATACTTACCACTTCTAAACCATATACTTAAAATGTTAGAAATGAAAATGGCATGTTTTTAACTACAATTAGAAATTTAGGACTACCTAAAAGGCACGGTTACAAAATCTTCAAACATCCCCTTCAAATAACAAAGGGTTCTTCTCACATAATTTTTTAGATTTAAACTATAAGTTGATTGTAAATTTAAGATTATTTCCCTGACTACTCACCAAGATAGAATAAAATAATCACTAGAAACCAAGAAAAGAGGAAAATTTATAGCACTAATGTCCACATCAAAAAGCTAGAAAGGGCCAGTCATGGTGGCTCATGCCTGTAATTCCAGCACTTTGGGAGGCTGGGGTAGGCAGATCACTTGAGACCAGGTGTTCAGGACCAGCCTGACCAACAGCAAAACCATATCTCTACAAAAAAATACAAAAATTAGCTAGGTGTGGTGATTCACATCTGTAATCCCAGCTACTCAGGAGGCTGAGACAGCAGAAGTGACTTAAAACCGAGAAGAGGAGGTTGCAGTGAGCCGAGATTATGCCACTGTACTCCAGTCTGGGTGACAGAGTGAAACTCTCCCACAAGAAAAAAAAAAAAATTAGAAAGATCTGAAGTTAACAGCCTAACATCTTGATTAAAAGAACAAGAAAACCAAGTGAAAACAAACCTGAAAGCTAGCAGAAAACAAGAAATAGCCAAGATCAGAGTAGAGCTGAAGGAGATAGAGACACTGAGAACTCTTCCAAAAAAAAAAAAAAAAAAAAAAAACTCAACCAATCCAGGAGCTGTTTTTATGAAAAAAAAAAAAAAAAAATTAATAAACTAGATGGAACACTAGTTAGGCAAATAAATAAGAAAAGAAAGAACCAAACACAAATAGAAATAATAAGGGAGATATCATCACTGATCCCATGGAAATAAGAACAATGATCAGAGAATACTATAAACACCTCTATGCTCATAAACCAGAAAATCTAGAAGAAATGGACAATTTCCTTGCAAAATAAACTCTCCACAAGACTGAACCCTGAATAGATCAATAATGTGTTCTGAAATTGAGGCAGTAAGAACTAGCCTACCAAGCAAGCTGAATTTGACTTGAGGTAAAGAGGAGATAGTACATTTTCTCCTAAAACTATCCAAAAAAAATTGAAGACAAAGAAGTTCTGTCTAACTCATTCTATCAGGCCAGCATCATCCTGATACCAAAACCTAACATAGATACAACAACAACAACAACAACACATCATGCCAATGTCTTTGATGAACACTGTGCAAACATCCTCAATAAAATACTGGCAAACCAAACCCAGCAGCACATTAAAAAGTGCATCCACCACAATGGAATTGGCTTTGTCCCCAGGATGCAAGGTTGATTCAACATATGCAAATCAACAAATGTGACTCATCACATAAAGAAAACTAAATAAAAAAAACACATGATTACCTCAATAGATGCAGAAAAAGCACCCAATAAAATTCAACATTCCTTCACGTTTAAAATTCTCAATAAACTAGGAACTGAAGAAACATACCTCAAAATAAGAAGAGCCATATACAACAAACCCACAGCCAATATCATACTGAATGTGCAAAAGCTGGAAACATTCCCCCTGAAAACCGGCACAAGAAAAGTATGCTCTCTCTCACCACTCGCATTACAACTCCCATTCGGAAAACTTGTCCAGGAAAATCAGGCCAGAGGAAGAAATAAACAGTATTCAAATAGAAAGAGAGAAAGTCAAATTATCTTTGTTTACAGATGACCTGACCCTATATCTAGAAAGCCTCTTCGTCTCAGCCCCAAAGCTTCTTAAGGTGATAAGCAGCAGTAGCAAAATCTCAGGATATAAAATCAATCTGCAAAAGTAGCTAGCATTCCCATACACAAGCAACAGGCAAGCAGGGAGACAAATCATGAATGAACTTTCATTCACATTTGCTATAAAGAGAAAAAAATACCAAGGAATACAGCTAAGAAGGAAAGTGAAGGATATCTTCAAGGAGAACTACAAACAACTACTCAGAGGAATCAGAGTGGACACAAAACAAATGGAGAAACATTCCATGCTCACGGAGAGAAAGAATCAGTACCACGAATATGAGCATATTGCCCTAAGTAATTTATAGATTCAATGCTGTTCCCATTGAACTACTGACATTCTTCAGATAATTAGAAAAAAAAAACTTTTTAAAATTAAAATGGAACCAAAAAAGAGCCCAAATAGCCAAGCCAACCTTAAGAAAAAAAAAAAAAAAAAGCTGAAAGGGTCATTGCCTAACTTCAAACTGTACTAGAAGAGTACAGTAACAAAAACAGCATGGTACTGGTATAGAAACAGACACATAGACAAATGAAACAAAATAGAGAGCATAGAAATAAAGCCAAAAACCTACAACAAACTGATCTTTGACAAAGTCAACAAAAACAAGGAATTAGGGAAAAGTCTCCCTATTCAATAAATAGTGCTAGGATAACTGGCTAGTCATGTGCAGAGAATTAAGACTGGAACCCTTCCTAACACCATAGACAAAAATTGACTCAAGATGGATTAAAGACTTGAATGTAAAACCCAAAACTATAAAAACCTTAGAAGAAAAAATCTAGAAAATACCATTCAGGATATAGTCATGAGGAAAGATTTGATGACAAAAAGACCAAAAGAAATAGCAACAAAAGCAAAAATTGACTAATGGGGTCTAATTAAACTAAAGAGATTCCACAGAGCCAAAGAAGCTATCATCAGAGCAGAGAAGCTAGAGAATGGGAGAAAAATTTTGCAACCTATTCATCTGACAAATATCTAATACCCAGAATCTATGAGGGACTTAAAATTTACAAGAGAAAAACAAACAACCCCATTAAAAAGTGGTCAAAGGACATGAACAGACATATCTCAAAAGAAGACATACATGTGCCCAACAAACATGGAAAGCTCAACATCACTGATAAGTGGATAAATACACATCAAAACAACAATGAGATACCATCTCACACCAATTACAATGTCTATTAATAAAAAGTAAAAAAGAAATAAAAACAGATGCTGGTGAGGTTGTGGAGAAAAGGGAACACTTTTACACTGTTGGTGGGATTGTAAATTATTTCAAGCATTGTGGAAGAGAGTGTGGAGATTCCTCAAAGACCTAGAAGCAGAAATACCATTTGACCCAGCAATACTATTACTGGGCATACACCCAAAGGAATATAAATCTATTTTAAATAAACATGTATACATATGTTCATTGCAGCAATATTTACAATAGCAACGTCATGTAATCAATCTACATGCCCATCAATGATATACTGGATAAAGAAAATGTGGTACACATACACCATGGAACACTATGAAGCCATAAAATGTAATGAGATGATGTCCTTTGCAGGGACATGGTTGGAATTTGAAGCCACTACTCCCAGCAAACTAATGCAGGAACAGAAAACCAAACACCACCTATTATTATTCTAACTTATTAGCAGAAGCAGATCAATGAGAACACATGGACACATCAGGAAGAACAACACACACTGGACACCTGTTTCATGGCATGGGGGAGGGGAAGGAGAGCAGCAGGAAGAATAGCTGCGGATGCTGGGCTTAGTACCTGGGTGATGAGATGATCTGTGCAGTAAAGCACAATGGCACACGTTTATCTATGTAAGAGACCTGCATATCCTGCACATGGACCCCTAAACTTAAAATAAAAGTTGAAAAAAAAGCTTATCACATATGGACCACTGAACTTAAAATAAAACTTGAAAAAACATGAGTATGAGGTGGATTCCCTAGGTTAGACCCAAACTGAGGATCCTGAAGCTCCTGCTGGGGGATTTGGGGCTGGGGGCACCCTGGGGAGCTGCTGCCAAGGCCATCCACCGTCCATACAGGCCGCCTCCCTTCCCGGCCTGTGATGGAAAGGAGAAGGGGTATGTGAACAGCTGTGGAAGTCAGACTCTCGGGAACTGAATCAGGCCCCAGCCCATGCCCCCCAGCCCAGTCCAGCCAACGTGCCCGCTGTCTTCCCACCCAGCCAGCCGAGCCCTCAGGATTGTTAGATGGAACCAGGCTCCATCACCACCCAGGCATGGAGGGAAGATGCCCTGGTCCTTAGCAAGCAAGGCCTGGTTTCCAAAGTGCTCTCCGAAGAGGCCTCATGTTTGTGACATCTTAGAAGGTACCTTTCTGCTGTTCTTGCACCCAGCATGTTGGCAAGTCAAGTTCCCCCACTGAGTTCTCCACACATAAGGAGGGAGTCAACACCATTGCTAAGTCGGATCAGCTCAAGGGTCTCCAGTATCAGTTTTATCAGATCCCAGGGACCTGCCTGCTCCCAGAGGTGACAGAGAAAAATCAAGGAACGATCTGTATGGTCACTGACATGGATGAAACCCTTGTGCATAGCTCCATTAAGCCAATCAGCAATGCTGACTGCCTAGTGACTGTAAAGATTGAGGGGACCATGAGGCCTTATATGGATGAGTTCCTGAGATGACTGGAGGAACTGTTTAAATGTGTTTTCTTCATTGCTCTCTTCATTCCAGACTGAACAAGTATGCAGATCCTGTTGAGAGGTGACAGCGTGCTGGCAGTCCTCACAACCCTTGCTCACTCTCCGGGCCTCCTCTGCCTGGGCTCCAACTTTGGCGGCACTTTAGGAGCCCTTCAGCCTGTCGCTGCACTGTGGGAGCCCCTTTCTGGGCTGGCCAAGGTCGGAGCCGGCTCCCTCAGCTTGCGACGAGGTGTGGAGGGAGAGGTGCGTGTGGGAACCAGGGCGGCGTGCAGTGCTTGAAGGCCAGCGCGAGCTCGGCGGACCCCACACTCGGAGCCGCCGGCTGGCCCCACCGGCCCCAGGCAGTGAGGGGCTTAACACCTCGGCCAGCAGCTGCTGTGCTCAATTTCTCGCTGGGCCTTAGCTGCCATCCCACAGGGCAGGGCTTGGGTCCTGCAGCCCGCCATGCCTGAGCCTCCCCCCCATCGGTGGGCTCCTGTGTGCCCAAGCCTCCTGGATGAGTGCCGCCCCCTGCTCCACAGCACCCAGTCCCATCAACCACCCAAGGGCTGAGAAGTGCGGGTGCACAGTGCCAGACTGGCAGGCAGCTACACCTGCAGACCCTGTGGGGGATCCACTGGGTGAAGCCAGCTGGGCTCCTGAGTCTGGTAGGGACGTGGAGAAACTTTGTGTCTAGCTCAGGGATTGTAAATACACCAATCGGCACTCTGTATCTAGCTCAAGGTTTGTAAACATGCCAACCAGCACCCTGTGTCTAGCTCAGGGTTTGTGAATGCACCAATCAACACTCTGTATCTAGCTACACTGGGGGGGATGTGGAGAACCTTTGTGTCTAGCTCAGGGATTGTAAACACACCAATCAGCGCCCTGTGAAAAAAGACCACTCGGCTCTAACAATCAGCAAGATGTGGGTGGGGCCAGATAAGGGAATAAAAGTAGGCTGCCCCAGCCAGCAGTGGCAACCCACTCGGGTCCCCTTCCACACTGTGGAAGCTTTGTTCTTTTGCTCTTTGCAATAAATATTGCTGCTGCTCACTCTTTGGGTCCACAATGCCTTTATGAGCTGTAACACTCACTGTGAAGGTCCACAACTTCACTCCTGAAGCCAGCGAGACCACGAACCCACCTGGAGGAATGAACAACTCCAGATGTGCCACCTTAAGAGCTGTAACACTCACCGCGAACGTCTGCAGCTTCACTCCTGAGCCAGCGAGACCACGAGCCCACCAGAGGGAAGAAACTCTCAACACATCCGAATGTCAGAAGGAACAAACTCCAGACATGCCACCTTTAAGAACTGTAACACTCACCGTGAGGGTCTGTGGCTTCATTCTTGAAGTCAGTGAGAACAAGAACCCACCAATTCCAGACACATTGTGATGGGTGTGCTGGACCAGTGTGAGGTGTTCTGGGGTTGCCTAGCCCATGAGTCACGTTTGTTCCACCAGGGCTGCTATGTCAATGACCTCAGCCATCTGGGGAGGGACCTGAGGAAAACTCTCATCCTGGACAACTCGCCTGCTTCTTACGTCTTCCACACAGAGAATGCAGTGCCTGTGCAGTCCTGGTTTGATAACATTCCAGACAGCAGCTGCTGCACCTGATATCAGTCTTTGAGGACATGAGTGGAGCAGAGGGCATCTATACTAGCCTTGGGCAGCAGTGGGCCCTTAGCCTTTCCTGCTTCCCAGCAATGGCCATCACAGTAGGGGATTTTCCCACACTGTGCCTTTATGATCAGCCTGAAAGAATGAAGCCTGGAACACCTACCCACATGGGCCTGGAAACAGTGAGAAGTGATTGAAAAGAGCTTTAGGACAGCTTAGATTCCCAGTGGGTGAATGCCAGACCAAGGATACCCAGAGCTACCTGCCATCAAGTTTTTGGGTTCCCAAGATGTGGGTGTGAGAGAAAGAAAGAGAGCATGTGTGTTTTGTGATGAACTGTGGGCCCAATATATAGTGTTTCAGTAGGGGAGAAGCTGAAGGACAGAGACTCTTCCCAAGTTAGCTTTGTCTCCTCTCCTGTCACCCTATGAGACCCTGAGTTCCATAGGGATGAAGACTGTTGAAGGCTCCATTGCAAACCTGGTCTTTCTTCAGTGCTGCAAGGCCTATGCCAAGGAGAAAGGAAAAGTATGCCTTTGGGTGTTCCAGACACATATCTTTCTGAAATATTTCTCCAGCCAGTTGTTGCAGACAAAAGACGATATTTCTGGGAAGATGGGGACTTATGTCCAGACCAGTACCCAAACCATCAGGTCTTGTGGCCTAAAGGCTATGCTTACTTAAGTCCAGCCAAGTGCCTGGGATGGATCCTTTCTGCATCTCCTCAAGACTCACCACTTAGGCATAGCCTCAAACCTGTGGGGAAGGAAGTTGTCTCCCCACCCTGCAAGAGGACAAATAACTGATTTCTCTTCTTTCGACTCTGTTTTAAAATTCTCTTAAAAAAAAAAAAAAAGCCTATCTGAAACTGAAAAGAAAAAAACAAAAAAACAAGGAAAAAGATGTCATACTTACATAAGTGAAAAACATACAGATATATCTATAAGCAACAAACACAGCTAATTCACACATATATTAAACATCACATTGAGATAAAGTGTACCGAGCTAAAAATTATCTTTCAACTGATGATATCAAGCTTTAAAATAAAAATACATTTAACTGATCTGAGAAAACATAACTCCCAAGAAAAGAAACACAATAACACGGACTTGAAAATAAGAAGAGAGATTTTCGTGCATAAAATCCTGAATACAACATAGATTTACAATGGAAAATAACCGTTTTTTTTTTTATTTTTTTTTTGAGACAGAGTCTTGCCCTGTTGCCCAGGCTGGAGTGCAGTGGCGCGATCTCGGCTCACTGCAAACTCTGTCCACTGAGTTCACGCCATTCTCCTGCCTCAGCCTCCTGAGTAGCTGGGGATACAGGCGCCTGCCACTATGCCCGGTTAATTTTTTGTATATTTAGTAGAGACGGGGTTTCACCATGTTAGTCAGGGTTGTCTCGATCTCCTGACCTCGTGATCCACCCGCCTTGGCCTCCCAAGGTGCTGGGAATACAGGCATGAGCCACCACAACCGGCCGAAAAATAATTCTTTAGATATCTACAGCATTCAACTGTGTGCACTCATGAAAAGCAGACAATTTAAGTCATTAGAATTTAATAAATTGCAGTAAAATTATACAGAAAATACATTACAATCATTAATAACAGGCTCTAATGAGAGGAATTTAATAAATAATCATTAAAAATACAGGATAATTTTATTATGTTCTCAATATGTTGCTGCACTTCTTACCACAAAACATAATAAAATTATATGACTATAATATAGATTTCAGGAGCTAAAAAAGCCTTATATTTCCAAATAAAAGAACAACATAAATTTTGCAAAATATGACGAGCATTACTGCAGTATAAAGTAAATATCTGGAATTAAAATATGCCATCATTTAGATACAGACTAAAAAAAAGAATATAAATGTTAATGATTCCTTTCTGCCTGCAGTGAGCTTAAAATTACAACCAAAAATTTTAATAAATATGTAGCACCTACAAGACATTTTATTAATAGCTTACATAATGTGGAAATTTGAGCAATTTATTTTAGAATTTTTGAATCTAAAAATCACCAGCTTGACATTCATTTGAGAAAGTGAAACATAAAGGAGAGTAACATAAGCAAGATGACAGAATGGGAGGTTCGGCATGCACATCCCCCACAACATAATGCAGCTGCCACGGGAAACATAAGTGCATTCATGAAAGCCTTAGAATCCAGTTCAGAGTTTGTGACACCCAGCTGGAGGCAAAGACCAAGGAAGACATCTTTAGAGGGTAAGCACTTGACCAAGTGGCAAGCTTGCCAATCATGGTCCTCGGTTCAAAACAGAATACTACCACATCTTACTGTAAACTTGGCTATGACTCATTTGAACTTGGTCCTGCCACTGCAAAAATCTGTGAAAAACACAAAAGAATTCATACTCATCTGAGACTTAGGTGACAGGCCTGCAGAACTTGGTTCTCTCTATAGTCCCTGAATCAGGCAAAACACACCTTCTTTCCTTCTCCAGCCATGGTCTGGAAGAAATCTTCACATTGATATGATGAAATGCTAACTAACAATATGAAAAATACTAAAGTATAAATGTCACTAAAAATGGTAAATACATACTGAAATTCAGAATACTCTAAATTGTTATCATCTTAAACTAGACTATTAAAATACAAGAGGTTTTACATAAGTCTCATGATAACCACTGGGGGAAAAAAAAACATAGTAAAGAAAAAGAGAAAGTAATTAAAGCATACACAAACAACAAAAATTACACATTGGATACAGTGGCTCCTGCTTATAATTCCAACACTTTTGGAGGCCAAGGTGGAAGAATCATAAGCTCCTTGGGTGTTGTGGTACGTGTCCAAGTAGTCCAAGCTACTTGGGTGGCTAAGGGGGGAGGATTGCTTGAGCCCAGGAGATTGAGGCTACAGTGAGCTGTGATATGCCACTGAACTTCAGTCTGAGCAAGAAAGCATAACTTTGTCTCAACAAAAATGAACAATACCACAGGAAAGACAGAACCAGAAAAAAAAGAAGCAAACTTAAAATGGACAGAAAACTACAAATGTACAATAGTAACTGCTTACTTATCACTACCTTACAAATAAAAAGATTAAATTATCTACTAAACAGATACTTCTGTAGACTGAATGTCATCTCCAAAATTTAGGATAAAATGGCCAATGTGAAAGAATTAAGAGGTGGAACCTTTAAAAATTAATTAAGCTATAAGCACTCTGCCCTCATGAATGGATTAATGTTCTTATTATGGGAATGGGCTAATTTTAACAAGAATGGATCTGTTATATATTAAAAAAAAAAAAGCTGTCTCTCCCTCACATCTTTGGCCATGTTATTATCCAGCAACTAGACCTTCAACAGATACCAGTAACATGTTCTTTTACCTTCCCAGCCTCCAGAATCATGAGTCAAATAAAATTCTGTTCTTTATTAATTACCAGTCTGTGATATTCTGTTATAACAGCCAAAAGAGACTAAAGCAGACAGAGTGGATAAATGAAACTTTTAAACCTCGTAATATGCTGCTTACAAGAGACTCAATTATGAATTAAGAGCATAGGCTAAAAGTGAAAGGATAGAAAATGATATTCCATGCAAATAATAGCCAAAGGAGTTCAATGGTAGTTATGCTTAAATTAGACAAAATAGACTTTCTAGCAATGTCTCTCACAAGCATGAAATGAGTTTACCATACAATAATAATAGAGGTTAATTTGTCAAGTGAATATAGCTATATATATTTATGCACCCAAAAGGGAGGCTTCTAAATATAAAAAGCAAATATGGGCAGAACTGTAGGGAGAAGTAGAAAGAAATCCAATAATAGAAAACTTTAATGAAATGTATAATAAAGGACAAATAGTTAACAGCATTGTGAATTTGCAAGGGAAAGCTGTTCTCCTGTGTTGCATTTGAGAATGCAGCAAAGAAAGTGGGAACTGATAATTTTACCACAAGCCTGAGTTAGGCTGAAAAACAGGGTGGTCGATTAGAGGTTCCACTTGCCATATATTAAAAAAACACAGGAGAAAACCAGTCCTC
Source organism: Homo sapiens (assembly GCF_000001405.40). Taxonomy (NCBI): domain Eukaryota; kingdom Metazoa; phylum Chordata; class Mammalia; order Primates; family Hominidae; genus Homo; species Homo sapiens. The sequence continues at coordinate 85,783 of NT_113901.1, forward strand.
CTCTGGAGTGTTAAAATAATTAAAGAGCAGAAAATTAGACTAAAGTGGCTCTAGTGTCCTGGGTTCATAGGTTAAAAAAAAAAAAACAAAAACTAAAACCTAACTCAAATACATTTCCTATAAAGCATTATCTTAGCCTGAAACAAAATGCACGTTTAACCAATGGCAAACATGCAATTAACCTCTGAATATGTAACCAGGACATTTCCATCTGGATAGTTCAAATAAGGTGACTACATAACTGGAACCAATTTTTGAATTTGGGCTGCTTTCTCATGCATCTTATGAAAGCCTTTCCTTTATGCCCCTCTGGTGGACCAGAAATCATGGCTGGGTGCTTTCCATTTCACCAATCACTGTTTGTTCAGATAAACTGGTTAACGTTTTAACATAGACTCCCGTTAATTTTTAACAAGAGAGACTGGGGACCCCACGGGCCGCAGCTCCTCCCACGCAAACACCCAGTGGCAGTTTTTCCCTGATGACCCACCAGGCCTCCCTGAACAATCTGGGAAATACTCATGGCTGTGGGCGCAGAGCAGGGCGCTGCCCAGGGACAGCACCGGATGGGCCAGGCCGGATGTGGGGGTCCTCGATGCTGGCCCAGCGGCCATCTTGCAGCCACAGGGGACTGAGGGCCAAGCTGCGGGAGACTCGGAGCTAACCGTGGGGGCCGGTCCTGCCGGTTTCACAGCCTGCTCTCCCCTCTCGGGATGCCGAACCCCGTATACTCACCATTTCCCAGCTTCCAGGATGTCCTGTCATCTTAACTGTGCGTCCCCAAGGACCTACAGATCACAGGGCAACAGGGGCTGTGAAAGAGTAGCCCGGGGCTCCCAAAGCGGAGGAGGCGAAAGAGGAGACGGATCCCAAGTTCCTGTGCCAGCGCCAGCGAGAGACAAAGACCCGCCAAACGCCAGAAGCCACGCCCTCCTCTCCTGTCCTCTCCAACTGCGCGCCTGATTGGGCTGTTCCCACATCAGTGTCAATGACTGGATAAAACTCCAGGACTCACCCACCCCCGCCTGACTCCTGCCCCTACCCCCACTCCCCCTCAGCCTTAGTGCATTTTTGTTAGTTTGTTTTACTTTAAGTTCTGGAATACATGTGCAGAACGTGCAGGTTTGTTACATAGGTTTACATGTGCCATGGTGGTTTGCTGCTTCTATCAACCTGACGTCTAGGATTTAAGCCCCATATGCATTAGGTATTTGTCCTAATTTTCTCCCTCCCCTTGACCTCAACACCCTAACAGGCCCCAGTGTGTGATGTTTTGTTCCCGGTGTCCATGTGTTCTCATTGTTCAACTCCCACATATGAGTGAGAACATACGGTGTTCTGTTTCCTGTTCCCGTGTTAGTTTGCTGAAGAGAATGGTTTCCAGTGTCATTCACGTCCCTGCAAAGGACATGAACTCATTCTTTTTATGGCTGAATATTATTTCATGGTGTATATGTGCCACATTTTCTTTTTCCAGTCTATCAATGATGGGCATTAGGTTGGTTCCAAGTCTTTGTTATTGTAAACAGTGCTGCAATAGATATATGAGTGCATGTGTCTTTATGCTAGAATGATTTATATTCCTTTGGGTATATAACCAGTAATGAGATTGCTGGGTCAAATGGTATTTCTGGTTCTAGATACTTAGGGAATCACCACACTGTCTTCCATAATGGTTGAAGTAATTTACACTCCCGCCCCCAGCAGTGTAAAAGCGTTTCTATTTCTCCATAGCCTCATCAGCATCTGTTGTTCCTGACATTTTAATAACTGCCATTCCAAATGGTGTGAGATGGTATCCCATTGTGGTTTTGATTTGCATTTCTCTAATCATCAGTGATGATGAGCTTTTTTCTTTTTCCTTTTTGTGTGTTTGTTGACCACATAAATGTCTTCTTCTTCTTCTTCTTCTTCTTCTTCTTCTTCTTCTTCTTCTTCTTCTTCTTCTTCTTCTTCCTCTTCTTCTTCTCCTTCTTCCTTTTCTTTTTATTTATTTTATTTATTATTATTTTAAAGACGGAGTCTAGCTCTGTCACCCAGGCTGGAGTGCAGTGGCAGGATCTCAGCTCACTGCAACATCTGCCACCCAGGTTCAAGTGATTCTCCTGCCTTATCCTCCCAAGAAGCTGGAATCACAGCCACCCGCCAAAACACCATGCTAATTTTTTGTGTTTTTAGTAGAGACATGGTTTCACCATGTTGCCCAGGCTAGTCTTGAACACCTGACCTCATGATCCACCTGCCTCCATGGCTGAAAGTCCTGGGATTACAGGCTTGATCAACCACGCCCAGCCAAATGTCTTCTTTTGAGAATAGTCTGTTCATATTCTTTACTCACTTTTTGATGTTTTTTTTGTGTGTGTGTGTGAAATTAAGTTCCTTGTAGATTCTGGATATTAGACCTCTGACACATGGATAGATTGCAAAAATTTTCTGTCATTCTGTAGGTTGCCTGGTCACTCTGATGATAGATTCTTTTGCTGTGCAGAAGCTCGTTAGTTTAATTAGATCTCATTTGTCAATTTTAGCTTTTGTTGTGATTGCTTTTGGTATTTTATTCCTGAAGTCTTTGCTCATGCCTATGTCCTGAATGGTATTGCCTAGGTTTTCTTCTAGGGTTTTTGTGGTTTGGTGTTTTATATTTAAGACTTTAATCCATCTTGAGATAATGTTTGTATAAGGTGTAAAGAAGGGGTCCAGTTTCTGTTTTCTGAATGTGGCTAGCCAGTTCTTTCAGCACCATTTGGTAAGTAGTAAATCTTTCTCCATTGCTTGTTTTTGTCAGGTTTGTTAGAGATCAGATGGTTGTAGATGTGTGATGTTATTACTGAGGCCTCTGTTCTGTTCCATTGGTCTATATATCTGTTTTGGTATTAGTACTGTGCTGTTTTGGTTACTGCAGCCTTGTAGTATAGTTTGAAGTCGGGTAGCAAGATGCCCCAAGCTTTGGTGTTTTTGCTTAGGATTGTTTTGGGTTGACAGGCACACAGGCTCGTATAGTTGGGGTCACCTGCCCAGAGTATCACAGCTAATTAAGAAGTGAGCTGAGACTTGAAATGCACATGCTCCTTCCCTTACCTGGGTCTGTTGTATAATGCATCTTAGCAGCTATTTAACAGTAGGAATTAGAACATTTGGACATCTTTTTAACAACTTTTTAACCTGCATTTTGATAATGCAGGAAAGACCTTCATCCCGTCCCTGAGCCCCTCTCTCACCACGCTACATCCCACTGCTGACCACATTGTAGGGTAGCCATTAGGAATCAGGCGGGCAGTGGGGGCTGGGAATAAATAAGCAAGGATTATGCTGCCCAAATTTGCTCATCTTAGAAAGTCTCCTCAACCATTCTGTGTGAAGTGATTATTCCAGGGTAATTGTGGCCTGACTGCGCTGGATGTCAGTGTGACTTGTCTTTTTGAAAATCACTGGATTACTCTCATGAACGGGGGTATTTCTCTTTCTATTTGAAAACGGCCAACTGTCCTCTGCAGGTGTCCTGATTTGCTAGTTTAGACCCTGAAGGTAGCGGTGAGAAAATATTTGGGCCACAACAGAATACCTATTCTCAGCTGGAAGATATATAGAAATTTCTTAATAATATCTAACCATTTTCTCAATAACCATTATATTTAACATTGATAGCTTGGAGGGCAGGGAAGGACACAGATGACACAATCTTCAAAGTTTATTTATAAGTTTTTTTTTTTTGTTCTTGTTTAGTTTTGCTTAGTTTTTGGATACAAGGTCTTGTTCTGGTGCCCAGGGTGGAGGGCAGTGGCATAATGATAACTCATAATTTGGTTGTAACGGTTCTTTAAAATATATTTTTGCTGAGAGTGCTAGCTCACACCTGTAATCTAAACACTTTGGGTGGTCAAGGTGGGATTATCGCTTGATCCCAGGAGTGCAAGACGAGTCTGAGCAACATAAGTAGGCTCAGTCTCTAGAAAAATATTTAAAAATTGTCTGGGTGTAGCTTTGCATGCCTGTAGTCCCAGCTACTTGAGAGGCTGATTTGAAAGCATCACTGGAGCCTAAGAATTTGAAGATGCAGTGACCCATGATTCAGCCACTGCATTGACAGAGTGAGATATGTGTGTGTGTGTCTGTGTGTGTGTATAAAGAATTTGTATGTGAAAAAAATTCAAGCACAGGATAAAAGTGAAAGCCCACGGTGGGGGATGTGGAGAAAGGTCACTGTGGCTCCAGCAACTCAGTGAGACTTGGTTTTCCATCTTGAAGAATTGCCCATCCACACTGACACCATAGCCTAACATATGCCAGTTCTCACACTACACCTGCTGGGATACCAGTATGTAGCCTTTTGAAAAAAATAAAATCTTTCACCTAAGAGAAGGACAAGAGAAAACGAGGGTTTCACATCTAAAGCCTTCATTTTCTTTATGAATCAACAGCCACTTGTCATTTGAATTGTCCAGAGGCGACTGACAGCACCAATACACTTAATGAATCAACCAGGAAAAATGGGCCTCTCAGGTGAGGAGGAGGCACAATGGTCACAAAACCCAATCCGTTCTCAGCTTTGCATGGTGCTCGCATCTCAAGAAGTGGTGTTAGCCATGTGAACCGTGTTCACTGGACAAGGCCAGAGGAAAGAATATTTAGTACAACACAACTATGGGGCTGCAAATCAAACTGGTAGTGAGAGCATGCATGAGGCTTCAGTGGCCGAGACACTGGTGGCTACCCTTCGGTGTCACTTAAACCTTTGAGGTGAAGGACATCTTTTTTCCCAACTGGCTCAGAGAAACCAATCAACATTAAAATTGAGATTTGTTTTTCTTTTCAAAATTTCTAAGACACAGAGGACTCTAACACTCCAAAAGACATTCAGATATTCTTGCAGCTGAGGACTTGACTGCTCTGTAGAGGGATGGCAGAGCAGCAGCCACCAGCTTTAAGAGCTTTAAGCTCCTCCTCTTATAGGGAAAGGCCACCCCCACACAACCCCCATAACTTCATAGGCTCTGGCTGTTAGGTGCACCTGGGGGACTGTCTTCCTCCCATCTCATTAGCTCTCCAAGACAGTTCAGCTCAATCTAAAACCTACCCTAAGATGGCGGTATGTAGACTCTCCTCCATTCTCCCAGCGCAGTGTGACTTCTGGAGAGTGCTCCCCCATCGTCTTACCTCAAATGATGTGAAAAGAGCTGGTTCCCGGGTAGTTAGATGTTCAGTGACCTAACAGGCCCAGCATGCGCAGGGCCTGGCCCCACAGCCTGGCACCTCTCTCCTACCTGGCCTTCACTTCGGCCTTTTCTCTTCTGTCACCAATGTCAGGTGATGGTCACCAGTGCCACACTCTCATGAGCTTGGTAAGTAGCAGGGGTGTAAACCCCAACAGATTTCCTGTGACTCTACCCTCTTACCTCCCACTCAAGTGACATTATAAGCATAATTTTATATTTGATCTAATTTATGCATAACCTTTTTATAACATTTCTGACAACAGCCCACACAACCACATGAGTCTGGGTTACAGAACACACGGGCGAGGCTCGGGTAGCAGGTTTCACTTACTTTATTCCAATGTGAAATGAAGATTGATGATTTAAAAACAAGACAAAGTTGTTTATCAGCTGTGGGGTGGCTACACTTGCTATCTCATGCTCACTTCCTTTGAAACAAGGTATCTGGACAGACCATATTCATAAGTAAGACTTCGCAAAACCTCAGACAGAAGTTCCAGTCAGACACAGCTCCCTCAGGCTCACAGGGTGGCAACCGCCTCCATGTTAGGCTCTGACAGCAGGCAAGGAAAGGAGCACAGGCAGCAGGGGACAGGGAGGGTCCGGGACTGTAGGGATCCCCAAATGCCCCAGAGCTATTCTCTGTAGAAGGGCACACGCAGGTCTCACTGTGTCAGTGCAGTGGCTGAATCATGGGTCACTGCAGCCTCAATCTCTTAGGCTCCAGTGATGCTTTCACCTCAGCCTCTCAAGTAGCTGTATGGCAAAAAGCCTCCTACTTTTTACTTAAAACCTGGACTTTAAGCCAGGTTGGGCCTGGGAATAGTGGCAGCAAAAGCAGCAGCCAAATGTATACACTTCAGATGTCTACACTCATGGGCACAGGCATATTCCACACTTGCTGGAACACGAGATGCCTGAGAGGCACCTGTTTCCCAGCTACTAACTGATGTCCACACACCCCATTCACGTGTCTTCATTTAGGTTTCTGCATCGTATATTTGCTCAGCCAGTGCAAACACATCTTCTAGGGGGCAACATTAATTGCAGCACCTGCCCCACTTGTTCTGGGAGGGAGTCAAGAGGAATCTGGTCAGCTCCTAATCCCCCAGGACAAAGGTGATGCCCTCTTTTCAGGACTTACATCCAGCAGCGTCATCTCGGGATGGGTTTTTCAAACACAAGCAGCATGAGGTAGCAAGCATGGTGTGACAGGCTCAGGGCCATGGGCAGCCGGCTTCTGGAGAAGCAGCACAGGGCAGGCACATCTGTGGGTGGCACCATGACAAGCCAAGACAGCCTCAGCCCGTAATCCCAACAGCTCCAGCCCAGATGGCATTCAAATTTTCCCGGATAGTATTGGGGTGCCCGATGCCCATCACTCGCCCTCTCATTAGCACGGCCTTGTTGGTTACTCAGGGACTAAGGAGAGAGAGTGGGGGATGTAGATCCAGGGTGGGCACTGCCTCACAGCCAGAGTCCACCTGACTGCAGGCCAGCAAGCAAGCCCAAGCAGCTCAGCTCTAGTCACCTCTGGCTGCACTTTTTATGTGTAATTTACACAAAGGCAGCAAAAGGAGGTCAACATTAGCTGTTGTGACATGAAAGTCTATGCCCCATTAAGACCTTAAAATGCTATTGTCTTAAGCTATCTTTATTCTAATAAAATTTATACAAATAAACACATACAAGGTGAACTACTATAAAGGAAATATTAGGATTTTTTAAACCCATAAACAGACATGTAAACAGTCACTGTTTGATTGCAGAGAAAGTGAGCTTCTAAAGCAGCTGACCACAAAACAGCCTCACCAAACCCCAGGCAGGCCAGGCAGTCTGAACACTACAAGGCCACGTGATGGTCACAGAGGATGACAGCTCCCGTGAGTATTGCAAGGCACTGTGTTAGCTTCTCACTCACAGTCTCAGAATACCCTGTGAGGGGAGGCCCCGTCTCACTAGAGCACAGGAGGTTCCTGAGCTCTTCCCAGAAAATGGTCATCAAACGATGGAGCAGGGGGAAGCCCAGACAGAACAAGTGAGTCCCTAGGGTCTCCTTAACCTCCCTCAGCTCCTCCACATGGGTTCCTGAGGGAAAGTGAGCAGTCTCCTAACCCCTTTGTTAGGGTTCCAGTCCTGCAGGTCTGGACTCTCTCATTTTATGCTACCATAGGGGATGACAATGCAACCCCAGGCTCCTTTTTTGCCATCCCTCAATGCCAGGCCAGGCCCAGAGCCGTTTGCTGACACAGCCCAGGGGATGCTCAAGGCCCACCTCGGCACAGTCACCTGTAGTGTACTGAGATGAGCAAGGAGGTGCAAGTAGACACAAATCCCCATGGGCTTGGCCTCAGCTATGTTCCACAGGCTCAGGGCCTCGCAGAAGAGCTCACAGCCCTCCTTCAGGAAGCCTGCAGATCACACCCTCAGGGAGCAGTGCTCAGATGAGCAGGCAGGCCCCACATCCCCCACCCCATGACGCTCTGTTCCACTTTGCAGGCTTCTGCATTGGCCAGTCCCCACTGCTTTCTGGTGAGATGTCCGAGTTGAAGTGAGTGTTGAATGCCACACAGCTGATGGAGCTCACTGCCTTGCACATGTTGTAAAACACCTCCTGGTTACAAGGGTCAGCTGTGGAGACACAGCTTGATGGGAGGTAGGCCCACTCCACCATCAGTAGTGCTGGGTTGCCCTGATCTGCACCTTCCAGATACTTGCTGAGATATCTGCATGCTTCTCTAAGGGACTGGGTCACGAGACACCCCTGGCAAGGACCAGCTGGCAGAACAGGCTGGACACTCTCCTTCAGCCTCCCCAGCAGCCCTACCTGTGCTGTCATCTGTGCTGATGATCTCCGTGGTAAGATTATGGGAAACTTTTACAGCAAGTTTTCCTTTCTCACTTCCCTATCTTAATAACAGCACTGATAACTTTTAAGCCCTAGAAAGCTGGAACTGCAAGACACATGATCTTCTGCCTTAGAAGGTCCATGTTTGGGCAGTGTGTGCCCAGGTGAGAGCCCCATGGTTGTTAGTGGAAGCCGGGAGCTGGATGGGCCTGGCCCCATAGCCTAGTGAAAAGTGGGACCCTCTCCTTCCAGAGCATGGAAGTCTCAGAGGCTGGAAAAAGGTGCCTGAGTGGCCTGCCAAAAAGCATAAGGCTAGAAGGGCTGGAAGGAACCCCAACAGTCTTCAAGGTGCCTGAGAGGGCTGGGCTCATTCCAGCTTTCTTTGCTTTCATCCTGATAGCAAGAAAACCTGCTCACACATGGCAGGCGGGCCTGAGGCTACCATTCCCTCATCAGGGGCTATAGGCACTTTAATGTGGCTCTTTCTTGAAGCAGCTGCTCAGGCCGGTTCTCGAAGAGAAGTTCCCTCATTATCCACAGGTTCTTGTTCCAGCCCCGTGTCTGCAGAGGGACTAGGGAGGGAGAAAATCTCTCAGCCTGTGCCCCACAACCTGCTCTGAGATATCTCTTTTGTTACTTCCTCACGGACAGCATCAAACTTCCAAATGAACAGACCAGCATGGAGCCTCCAGAAAAGTGCACAGAATTCTGTCTAGTACCCAGATGGAAGGGGGTTCCCAGTGAGGGCAGGGCCAGGCTGCATGCACCTCTTCAGGAATGTTCTCCTCATTGTCCAACTTCAAGGTGTGCATCCTCTGTGTGTATGCAGTCCATGGCAGGCTCTGCCTGGGGAACCGTCCAGCTGAACACCTGCAATGTGGTGGTGACCCTCTTGAATGAGTGGTTGTGGGCCCCATGGCAGTCATCAGAGAGGGAGATGCTTAGCCCACCAAGCCGAGAGCCCTGCCACAGCCTTCTGTGAGGCCTCCATCTGCTCTGGGTTCTTGCCCTGAAAGGCTGTCCTGAAGTCAAACAGAAGAAGGTGGGCCTCTCTTCCAGGGCTGCTCTTTATCCCACTGACAGCTCCCTAGAGGGCGACTAAGACAGCGGGGACAGATTCCTCAGGCAGAAGGACTGGAGTTTAGGCTGACGGGTTCATTCCATACCCCCACATGAGATGACACAAGGCAGGGGCTGTGGGACAAAGGCATTGCCTTTCCTTCTGGGATGAGGAATGGCATAGGAGACAGGGTATGGTGGGGCTGGGGTTGAGCGATGGGCTTCACTGAGTAAGTGTCCTGGTTATCTGTCCACAGACCCAGAACAAGTGGCATCCCAGGAGCCTGGGAGGGGCTGGCAGAGACTTACTGGTTCCAGCAAAAGCCCATGTGGATGCAGCAATGCTGCCTGCTGGTCCTTGGCTGTAATTACAAACAGGTACTTGAGGTCCCCATGCATCTTGCAGCTCTCAGAGAGTGTGTTCCAGCTGCTCATGGTAGGCACTTTTAGTCACTGAACGTGCTTCAGGAATGGCCAAGCTTGATTAAGCCAGGCGTCTTGCTGTGAGACCCTCCACCCAACTGAGGACCCTCTTCCTTGTTCCCCCTGGCAGTTTCACCTTCCAGTTCTGGTTCTAGAGACACGATGGCCCCTCTTGGGCCCCTGGGAGAATGTGCTCAGGTGACACACTGTCGACAGGGCCCATTTCCAAGCCATTCTTCCATTTCCCACTGTTTGAGGGGCTGAGGCCGGTGATCAGCACAGGGCCACCCAGGGCCAGCTGTCTGCACCTAAACATCATGCTGGTCTGGATGTCTCAGGGCCAGAACTCTCCAGGTGAGATGGCCTGGTCCTCAGCACCTGGCCTCCGTGCTCCTTTTTCCTCTGTTCAATCCTGGCCCCAATGCCTCCCGCAACTCTCAGGTCACCATTGGAGAAGATGCTCAGGAAGAACAAGAAGCTGCAGTCAACCCTGCTGAAGGTGGCATATGGGTCCAGGCTCTTGAGCTGGTCTTCGACATGGTACATGTGGATGCAGGCTTTGAGCAGTGTGAGTAGCTCTTTCCGGAAGGAGGGGAAAACGGTGTTTCCAGGGTCCTACACCCTAGAACGACCCATCTAGCACAGAAAACAGTTTGCAACGTGCTATCATGTGTGATTTTAATTTTCAACTTTAGGCTTTCATTTTCAATTTCCACAATAAACACATAAGGTGGGGTTCTGATTTCAACACACACACATTCTCTCTCTCTCCCTCTCTCTTAGAATCTTCCAGTGCGTTCACACTGAAAGCCAAAGTCCTCCCAGAATCTTGTGAGAACCTAAATGATCTGAATAGTTTGTCATTGATTTTGGGGATCTGGGAAAATCTCTGCACATTTCTGGAGACCGCTGTTATGCCAATTTTAATAAATCTGTTGTGCTTCAATTCAGAAGTGTGTGAAGGGAGTTGTGGAGGAATTGGCATTTGGGTTAGAAATTCCAGGAACACCAGAGACAGATGACACCTGTTTTCTGCTTCATAATGTCAAGTTTTACGATGGCTAAAACCTAATTCTACAAGAAAATTAGACTGAAAAACTTTATAGGCAAAAATTATCTTATTAAATAGGAAAATCTAAGTATTTTATTTTAAAATTTCCTTTTTCTTAGTAGGACCTAATCATAGAAATGTAAACTCTATATGCCAACAGCCTCTACTGTAGGATGGTTTATTGTATGTACTCATTTTACTGATTTCTTACAAAAACTTTTTCCGTAAGGGAAATTAGAATATTGTTCAACATATATTGAATTCACAATTATTACTTTATTTCTCACTTAGTATTTTATGATTCTGTCTTCTTTAATATGAAGATTACTATGACTGTGTTTTCACTTTCTGAATTATCATGTGTCACATTTGTCTGTAATTTCCTTTCAGAAGTTGTAAAATAGCATGCTCAAATGTATATATTATGTATAAATTATATAATTTATAATTTATTAAAATATTTGGCTTGTATGTTTAATTGACTCTAGGCACAATGTTACTATTAGCATCTTCTTCCAGTTTTCCCAACTTTTATTTGACTAATAGTACAATTTATTTCCAATTTTTATTTTATATGTCAATGTTTTATACTGTATTTACAATATTTATATTGTTACCATATTTAGAAATGTAAGACTTTTCAATTAAAAGCTAGATTACAGCCTTATCGTTTTGTGTAAGAAAAGCAGCAATGCATCAGTAGCATAATTTAAAACTTTCTCTAGTATTACTTAAATGCTTATTCCTTAAAACTTTCTCATCACAGCTCTTTGTATTAATTATAATGTGTTTTCTCTGAAATGTTGTTGCCCTAACTGTATCCAAATAATTCAAAATTCATACTTTTCATAGATTCACAGGAAGAGTTAAAAATTGTAGTTACCTGGGATTCTTTTTCATTTGGACACTATGTTTATTCAGGATTTTATGGATTAAAGTTTCTCTTAATTATGTTTTATAATTTTATGTTTCTGTATTTTTTAGAGTAGGCTGTCTCACATCAGTTAATTGTGTTTTTACTTTCTACCTATTTATTATGATTTTGAATTTCATTATTCAAATAAGAATTTGGGGGTTAATGTTTATTTTAACTTTGTTTTGCAATTTTACATTTCTGTGTTTCATGTTTTAGGGTAGGGCACCTTATATTAGTTTATTGTTTTAAGTTTTAATTTGTATAATATAATATTGTATAACAATATTCAACTCTGTATGCATTAAGACAGTGTGGGGCAGAAGTCAAATATGAACCATCCCTATGTCTTTTGTTAATACAATGATTTAACTGTTTGTTTGCCTGTATAAATATTGCCCCTATTTTGTTTATGACTTTTATATTTTCTTCTTATTTGATGGCCAATAATTTATTCTGTCTAAGTGAGTAATCATGGAAATTGTCTTAATTTCAACATCTATTGTTTATATTATCTTAGTGTGAAGGAAAGATTTATGTGATTTGAAGATAATTTTTCAGAAACTTTGTAACTCTGTCCCTTCGGGTGTCTTTTTTTTTTTTTTTTTTTCTTTTGACAGACTCTCACCCTGTTGCCAAAGTGCAGTGGCACAATCTTGGATCACTGCAACCTCCACCTCCCAGGTTAAAGCAATTCTCCAGCTGCTGCCTCTTGAGTAGCTGGCATTAAAGTTGTGCACCACCGCGCCTGGCTAATTTTTGTATTTTTCATGAAGCTGGGGTTTCACCATGTTGGCCAGGCTGGTCTTGAACTTATGGCCTCAAGTAACCTGCATGCCTCAGCCTCCCAGAGTGCTGCGATTACAGGCATGAGTGATCACTCTTGGCCCTTGGGTGTCATTTTTAATTTCGATTGTGGTAAAAATACATAACATAAAATTTAGAATCTTTAATATTTTTTCTTATACAGTTCAGTCATGTTAAGTGTATTTACATTGTTAAGCAACATATTTGTAAAATTTTTTCTTTTGCAAAACTAAAACTCAGTACACATGAAATGACAACTACCCATTGTCCTTACCACCTGGCTCCTGATAAAAATCATTCTATTTTCTGGTTCTAAGTTTCAATACTTTAGATATTACATATAAGTAGAATCATAGAGTATCTGTTTTATTGTGACTAATTTTACTTAGCATTATGTTCTCAAGATTCCTCTTTATTGTGGATGGTACAAGATTTTCTGCCTTTAAAAGCTAAGTAATATTCCATTAGTTTTATATTACAAATTTTATTTATTTATTCATTCTATGAGGAAAATTTGTGTTGCTTTCACCTATTGGCATTTCTGAATAATGCTGCAATGAATATTGGTATGCAAATAGCTATTTGCTCATATGTGTGAGGTTTACATGTGTGCTACCTTCTGTTTTATTGGAAAAATTGTCTGTGTTTATGCCAGAAACAAACTGTTTTCATTGCTGTTGCTTTGTAATGTGCTTTGAAATCAGAAAAGGTGAGGTCACTAACATTGTTTTTTTTAAACATTTTGGGGCTCTTTATGGTCGCTTGAGATTCCATATAATTTGTTGGTTCCTTTTTCTATTTCAAAAAAAAAGTTCTTAATTTAAAAGGGATTGCATTGAATCTGTAACTCGCTTTAGACATCATAAGCATTATTCATAATATTAAGTCTTACAACCCTTAAACATGAGCATGCTCAAAAGTGAGTTGTTTAATTTCCATATATATGTTGCTATTTTTGTTTTCTTCTGTTATTCATTTCTAGTTTTATTCCATTTTGATCAGAAATAATAGCCATTGAAAGGCTAAACCACTCTGGGAAGTGACCCCCATTATAGAACATTACAAAGAGATGTGAGGGCACCACTTCTGCCCTGATGGGCTACTGGGATGAGTTCTCTTAGATGACACATTGCAGACAAATGTAGGAAACAATATAACCCCTTTTTCATGTAAACTCTTCCCTATTTTTGTAGAGTATTAGTGATAGTGGTGGCTTTCAAGTCTTGGAGAAAGTCTGGCAGTACCATGAACCTGCTTGCTACAGATGATATCAGAGGGGAATAATTAAAACTATACAAACTGTAGTAACATGAATAAATGCAGCCTAGTGTAAAGTAAAAACAACACAAAGGCCTTCTCTGATATTTCTACAAGAATGTAAAAAGGGACTTTACACTTAACCAAGTTGCCACTGGGACCAGTTAAGGCTAGATTTTTGGGGGGTAGATCTGAGGGTCACTCATGGAAATCCCCTAGGAGAAAGCGCAGAGAAATTCCATATTTGGGTCTGGATCCTGGACCCATCCTGGTTTTGTCAGGTCCCTCTCTGTAGAGAACCCCATGTGCCTGCTCTCAACATAACTCATTGTATGCCATGCTTGGGGGGTGTGGTGAACCTGCCAGTTGTCCAAGGAGATGGGGGACTTGAACCCATCAAATATCTGCTCACTGATTTTAATGCAGCTCTACAAAGAGTGTTCCCAGCAGCGAAAAAAGTTAATTGTCTTCTTTGTTTTTACCACCAGGTGACATCTGCATTAGAAATTCTGTTTCCTAGATCAGGAACATAGGAGTATCTGCATAGACCCCCAGCCAATGAGGAAACCCGAGGACAGCTTAAGGCCTTGGGATTCACATCTGAGTAGACGTACTTGGTCCGCAACTCACAACTTTTTATTCCACCAACCGTGACCTGGGTATGAACATGACAGACCCACCAGGGTTCCTGTGTCTTAAAACCTGCCCCTGTGAGGAAAAGCCCCCTCCTTTCCTGCTCCCCTTGCAACACAGGGTAATGGTAGGCAGGGTCGGGTTGCCCAGATTAGATGACACAGGTGGCCTGGCATGGACGGACCTGCCCTGGGCTAAACTGTGTTACCTGTGGGTGCCTCTTGTCGAATGGCCAGTGGTATCAAGGATGTAGGCTGAGCCAGTATGTATACTGTCAGAAAAGGCTCTCACTTTGAGCCTTTCTCAGGCAACAGCTTGGGAATATAACACAATGAGAACACAGTGCCCTCTCAAGCATCTCCCAAGAAGTTAGCTAGATACAGGGCTGTCTCTAGAATGTGGGTTTCTGGTTCCCAAAGTTCTAAATTCTGTTAGGTTTTGTCACAAGGGAAGTCTGTTAACTTCTTCAAGGTTTTATCCCCTGAGCCCTTTTCCTCCATAAATCTACGCAAAGTCCCTGCTGGGCTGCTGATTGCTCACCCTCCTCTCCCATGTCAACTCTTTACCTGTAAACAGTTATGCAAACACAATTATGTCCCTTAATTCCCAAAAAGTTCTAAATGCAGCCAGGGCCCCAGGTTTGAGAGAACAGAGTTGGGTTAAAATCTTCTTTTCCTTTTCATTTCTGTGACCATATGAAAATGACTGTGTGCTTCAGGTCTCCCCAGCCCTGAAGTATGCATAATGGGATTATGCTAACATCAACTTCCAAAAACAGTCTTTGGTGATATATGAGATAGAATGAATCAAAATCGGTTGGATGCAGTGGCTCTTGCTGTAATCTTAGCAGATTGGTAGACCAAGGCAGCTGGAACACTTAAGGCCAGGGGTTTGAAACCAGCCATGGCCAGCATGGCAAAAACCCTTCTCTACGAAAAATCCAAAAATTAGCCAGATGTGTTGATGCATGCCTGTAATCCCAGCCACTCAGGAGGCTGAGGTGTAAGAATCACTTGAGCCCAGGAAGCAGAGATTACATTGAGCCATGATCCTGCCACTGCACTCCAGCCTGGGTGACAGAGCGAGACTGTGTCTCAAAAAATATATATATATATAATGTATATAAATATTTTTATTTATATATTATATATAACTATATATATATCAATTATATATAACTATATATAATATATAAACTTATACATATATATCTTTATATATAAAAGATACATAGTTTATGTATCTTTATACATAAAAGATATATATTTTATATATATGGCCTTAATTTTCCATTCCACAGCAGAAGAGGTTGAAATTAAAAGAAAATCAGATACTGTCTTCTGGCATTAAATATTCCAGTGCTGTGCATTATATTTAGAATCATATGTATATGCCTCATCTCAGCCTATGTGGTGGGCACCCCCAACAAAGTCTCACAACAACACTAAGTTGTGAGTGACTCTGTTATTTTAAAACGCAGCTCACCTCTCAGTGCCTCAGAAGCAGGTACTATAACACCGGGTTTCTAACAGAGAGATGGGATTCCAGCTCAAGTCTGTTTCCCTGTGCTTACTTAAAGGTAGTAATATTCTCAGAAAGGTTTAGGAGGTAGGTTCTGGATTAGTACGGAATTGCTTAAAGGAAAAATGTATGGAAAATCACTGGGCATGAACAACTATTTTTTCTTGCTACACACAGATCACATGTGCAAATTTGGGGACAGTTAGTACAAAACATGTGATGGAAATTTGGGCTCTGACATCAGTGAGCTTATTTCACACAGACTCCAGTTGACCATATTGGTTCCGACCAATTTTAGCCACTTTTTAGAAGTCTCATAAGTGGAATAAATTTCATTCTTTCAACAAGTTGTATCTTTTCTTATCTGTCATTCTGCAAACTGAAGAATTTCTGTTAGTCATTGGATGAACTCTTTGGGGACCTGGTTCTAGTTTCTGTCAAAGGGAAAACAACAAATGTGATAGGTTATCACTTCTGACTTAGTTCAGACTTCTATACCAAAAAACATAGACTAGGCAACTTATAAATAAAAAACATTAGTTCTAGAGGCCAGAAATTTGAGATTGGGCTTCCAGCATGGTTGGGGTCTGGTAAGGACTCTCTTCTGAGTTTCAAACTCCAGACTTCAGGTTGTTTTCTCATTTAGCAGAGAGAGGGAGAGACAGCCTTCTGCGGTTTCTTTTACAAAGCCCGTAATCGCTATCATGAGGTCCTCATGCTTCGGACTTAATTACCTCTGACCTGCTAAGGCCATTACACTGGGGATTAAGGTTCTGGTATGTGAACATGGTGGGGAATCACATAGTCTTCTGCAACTTCCAAAGTTATATTTCTAAAACAGCTATTATTTTCCTCTTACTTGCTCTGTCCTGTGTGTCCTCTCTCAATCTCTCTGTCTCCCTTTCTCTCTTTTTCTCTGCATATGTCTGTCTATCTCTTTCATTTTTCATCTCTGTATTGTAATCCTCAAGATGAGGAAGTGATCTGCAGTGTCCTAAGATGCTCTAGGCACAGACCCACATGATAGAGAACTGAGGAGATGCCCAGGCCAATCGAGAGGAAGGAACTCGGGCTCTCAGTTCACACTGAATCGTGCCAGTTTCCATGAGGCAGATAGAAGGCTGATCTCTCCTCAAATCCAGCTTCAGTTGAAATCACAGCCCCAGCCTCGTAAGAGACCTTGAGGCAGAGGCACCCAACTAAGCTATATCGAGATTCTGGTTCACAAAAGTTGTGAGATAGTATTTGTTGTCAACATGTGCTAAAATTCAGGGAAATTTTGTCAGAGAGGGGCAAATGACTAATCTCCTCTTTCAGTCCCCAGGATCCTCCCTCCCCTCTTTTCCTTTCTTTCTCAGGCTGCCTGCCGCCACAATTGTCCCGTTATAACCTCCTCTGCTGAACTCACCTGTGCCTGTGAGTCTCTTCACAAAGAGTGGCTTTTCCCTGACACACTTTGCACACCTGCGCAGGACTGGCTCTCTGTTGTCATTCTGGTCACAACATAATGTCACCTCAGGGAGGCATTCATGTCCCCTCCAGGCAACCTCTCCCCAGCCCTCCCTCCCAACATTCTACTTTATTTCCATTATAAAATGCTCTTTTCTTTCACATGTACTTGCTTTAGTGTTTTTGTCCTGCCGTCCTCAGACTGTGGGCTCCCCGCGGGGAGGCAGGGATAACATAATCATTTTTGGTACCATAAGGTGAACCTACCAAGGTAGCTGCCACATGGTGAGTGCTAGGGGAAGAGTCGCTGAGTAAAATAACATGGAAAATCACAAAGCCCTTCTTCCCACTTTTGGCCACCCAATAATGTGGAGATCATGAATGATAACAGGAGCTGCAGGACCTCAGCCTGTCTCTCCCCCGGCTCCAGCTGCTCCAGTAAAGCCCAGCGGGCATAAGAAACACGGGGTCTGCCGCCACCTAGAGGCCTCCACTAGCCCTGAAGTCCCAGGTGGAAGCATCACAAAACAGGCACCTGCATTGGGGAATTCTCAAGGCAGTGGCTATTCAAGGACCCCTGGGAAAAGGAGCAGTATCTGAAGACTCCAAGGGCCATAAAAGTAACCTCGGAAACCTCCCTTGATTCCTATTTTCCTCAGCCTCTTTGAGTGTGCTGTGCACTCATTAAACACTTTAACAGCATTCAGAGACATTATTTTCTTCCACTTCTGAATGAGGACCTCAAGGACAGCCCAAAAATCTAGTATTTTTTCTGGGCCCCACACTCCAGAGCCCAGTGCATTGTCACATTCTGCTTTATTCCAAGTCCTCATCTGCCCACATCTCTAGGCCTCTCTCTTCTCTGAAGGACCTCTAGAACCTGAAAAGCCTCTTCCCAGAGTCTCAAAGCACAGTGAGTTACCAATGAAGAGCCAAGGGGAGCAGACACTTATGAGTATCTAGAATTCTTGGTATTATTCCTTTTGAGTACCCCTATTTATGAGAGAGAAAACGAAGGTTTTCTTTCCCGTAGCCTCACTTTATATCACATGGGGTGGTTGGGGGAGGGCATAGCTCATTTTAGTTCCAGGTGCCCATAGAGGTGGGAGTCACAACCCCTGTCCTGTCCTCTTGAAACAGCTGGGAAGATCCCCAGGCCTGGAAGAACCCAGGGAACCTGGAGGATCCTTCATCACATGCTGTCAGCTCCTGGTCATGTAGCTGGGGGAGTGGATGCCTCTGCCTCATGGCAAAGCTGCCTCTTCTATTTCTTCCCGTTTTGTCACTTCTCTGGTTTCCTCTTCTCTAACCTCACCTCCATGATCTCCACCTTAGAAGCCTGTGTGTGTGTGTGTGTGTGTGTGGTGTGTTTGTGTGTTCATGGCTGCACACCTATGTGAGAATAAGGAAGGGTAGAAAGCCCAGGTAGAAAGTAGACCACAGGGTTTTCCAGGACTTAAGAGCACTCATTTCCAAAGCAAACCTGATGGGTGGGGTGCATGCAAGGCCTTGGAAGCTGGATCCCTCCCTAATACTCTGTGCTCTTCCCAATTTCTGGGATATGGACCAGTCTTTGCCTTTTTTGGGGGCCTCAGTCTTCCTGTTGTAAAATGGATAGGTGGTCACAAAACTGCATAAACACATGCTCAGTGAAGACAGGGTGTCATGCTCAATACCAGATAGAATATTGGGATGGGGAGAGTTTGAGCAGACTTTTGTGTCCACGGTAGCTCAGGCCTCTGAACAGGGCAAATGCAGGTGAACATAAAGCACGGCACAGCCAGGTTTTCTTACCAGGGCTACGGGATGAAACAGTGCACCACAGGCTCTGTTCTGGAGGCTGGTCCCGCAAGATTTTCCCTCCTTCAACCAGCAACTGTTTGATGAATTTCATGTCCTGTGAAGCCCATATCCACCCCCATTACAGTGAGGGGCACAGGGCACTAGACCTGTAAAATAATGTCTTTTGCCTTTTTTTCTTTTCTTTTCTTTTTCTTTTTCTTTATCTTTTTCTTTTAACTGAGTGGCTGTTTCTTCTTTCTCTTTTTCTGTTTTGTTTGTTTTTTAACTAATTTTTAAGAGGTCTTTACAGGTCAGCTGTGGTGCCTCACATCTGTAATTTCAACACTTGAGAGGCTGAGGCGGGCGGATCATTTGAGGTCAGGAGTTAAAAACCAGCCTGGCCAACCTGGTGAAACCCCGTCTCTACTAAAATTACAAAAAATTAGCCGGGAATGGTGGCACAAGCCTGTAGCCCCAGCTACTCAGGAGGCTGAGACAGAAGAATTGCTGAAACTTGGGAGGCAGAGGTTGCAGTGAGCCGAGATTGCACGACTGCACTCAAGACATGGTGACAGAGTTAGTCTCTGTGGAAAAAAAAAAAGAGAGAGAGAGGGAGAGAGAGAGTGCCCTTTATGGAAATGCGAGCCCCTTTGTAATTTCATGAGTTGTAAATATTTATTCCAATTTGGGAATTTCTTTTCTTATTGTGGTGTTCTCTTTAAGTTTGTTTTGGATGTTATTAGTGTTTTGTTTTGCTTTGTTTCTATGTAACTTCTCCCTAAATTGATTCATAGATTTCCATTTTCACAATACAATATTTTGGCAGAAATCTTGTGGAAACTGTCTAATCAGTTTAAAAAATTTAAATACATATAAAAAATCGAAGAAATGTAAAAACTGTCCTGAAGAATAACAAAGTTTGTGAGCTTAAAATGACATATATTCAGACTTAGATTAAAGCTATAGTAATAAAAGCTATCTATGGTAGTAATGCAAAAATAGGCACAAAGAAAACTAGAAAAACTCGAGAGTCCAACTCAGACTCACACATTTGGACATTCTGTATATTACAAAAAAGGCACAGAAGAGGAGTGAAGACAGTCTTCTCGGTAAATAGCCTTGAGTCAACCAGTTATTTATGTGAGAAAAAACACTCCTATCTTATATTATTAACAAATTCCAATGAAAAGTGGATTTTAAATTTTAAGGTCAAAGCTGAAAACAATATTTCTAGTAGATAACATAGATAAATATGTCCATGACTGGCACAGGCCCAGATTTCTCGGGACACAAAATGCATTAATTCTCAAGAGAAAAATATGACAAATTGGACTTTATTAGAATTAAAACCTTCTCTTCATAAAAAAAAAGCTTCAGGAGAGCTGAAAGGCAAGAACAAAGTGGAAATCAACATTTGTCATATATTTATGTGGCAAAAGACTTTTATCTAGTTTATTTAACTAAATCCCATCAATTAATAAACAAAGATGCATACATTGAACAAAATTGGCAAACATGTGACTAGGAGTTCCACATACAGAACCGAAGGGCCAACAAGTAGATGAACACATCCACATCCTTATGCATCAGAGCAATGCATATGAAAACTACAATTGAATACCACTATGCAATCATTAACATTTTTGAAAACTGACAAAATTAAGTACTAGTGATGATGTCAAGCAACTGGAACTTTCTTATACCATTCTGTGTGCAAACTGTTATAACGGCATTCAAAACCTCTTGAGTAGTAACTCCTTACATACACGATGTACATAAGCACACTCTAGGACCCAGAAACTCTGCTACTAGGTATATACACCCAATAGAAATGCCAGCATATTTTCCAATGCAGAAAAATGCTCTAAGCAGCATTATTTGGTACTTTTCCAAACTGAAAAAAACTCAAATGTGCATCAATAATAAAATAACTAAATAAAACAGCTACATATTCCTTTATAAGGGGACATTATACAGATATAAAATTAATTGGAGACATATTAAAATATACAAAAATCTAACAAATACAATTTAATTAGATTTAAAAGTCCTATCCACAGCAATCAGCCAATAGAAAAGAAAAAGGCATACAAATAGAAAAAAAAATTGAATTCTCTTTCTCCATTTGCAATATGAGTCACTATGCAGACAATGCTAAAGTCTTTCCAAAACTCCTTTTGGAGAAAACTTGAAAAGCCTCCTGAAATGGATAAGCAAGTAAAGTTTTAGGACACAAAACCAATGTAGAAAAACCAGTAGTATTTCTATGCATCAACAACTTTGAATTCCTGAACATCTTCAGGTTTTATTGCATTTTCAATTTTTTCCCTCCATTAACTATACATTTTTTCTTTTTTCAGCTAAACTAATTTATTCTTCTGTATAATTTCACCTTGTTAATAAACCCCAGGCCAAAAAGTGGGAATAAAGTATTTGTCTGCATCCTGTTTCCTCATTTTGAAAACTAGTCTAGATGAAACCTATACTTGTTCTAGGGAGTTGGCATAGACAGCATTTATTTCCATTCTCTGCAGGGATGCCAGCCAGAAAGAGGGAGTTCCGCATTTTCACTTTGGTTAGACAGGACTCTGGATGGTTGTAGGGGAAAAGATCCAAACTCTAAGGGAGTCAAATCAGACATTGCAAAGATTTATACATTTACTCTGGGAGCAATTATTGTGTTAAATTTTGTGCAAAACACTGCGCAAACAGCAATTAAAGTGAAAATTATTAAGGCATTACCTTTACCTTGGGAAACTCACACTAGTCAGATTCTCCGAACCCCAGAACATAACAACAACCTAGTAAAATCTTGTTCAGAGTGAAGAGAGGGTGGGAGCAGGAAGGTAAGGTTAAAAATTAGGCTGGGTGAATGAGATAATTACCCCTAGTCAAGCAGTGGAAGTATGGATGGCTTTGGGATGGGTGAAGACAAAAGAATCTCAGCAGAGGGTGCAGATAAAAAAAGGCAGAAACACAGGAGGCTTATGCAGGAAGAGGAATGAGTTTGCTGGACTGGGGAGAGTGACAGTAAAAAGCAGAGGATAATAGGCATCTCTGGTCATCTAGGGACTATAGGGTGGATTAGTTGGGGGTTACAGAATCAGTGAGGTACTTTTTAACAGTAGGATGGGTAAATAAGAGCTATAATTTGGAATAATTATGTAGCAATGGTGGTTAGGAGCAATAGAAACTCAAAGTATTACATAAATATTTTTTTTCTTATTCTCCCACACAAGCGTTTTGCCTTTCCTCTTAAACTGAGAACGGAGTGGTTTGCTATGATGTTTTTAAATTCTCACAGACAAGCATTATTCTTTGCTGCCTTTTAGTAAAGGTTAGTTTTAACCAAATTAAAGAAGATTGAATGGATTTTCTTGCTCATAATGGTTGAGTGCAATATCTCATACCTTCTATTAGTTTTCAGTATAACTGAAATAACAGAGTGTCAATACTCCATGGAGGGGTGCTCCGCTTGCTAAGGCTCCCTCCTCTGGGCTAGGCCTTCTACACCATGGCTGTCCTGCTCTGGCTGGAGCTGGAATTTGGATTGACCTCTGTGTGTCTTCCTAGCACACAACAGGTGTCCAATTAGCATGGGCAGAATCAAGCTCCTCCCTCTCACCATTTATTTCTCCATTTGTCCCTTGTTGGGAATGGAGAGTCCTGCCACTGAGTTCAGCCCAGGGTTGAAGTTCAAATCTCAGCTGATACTTGGTGGATGTTGACTTTTTTGAGAAGAACTTGGGAGAATAAAACATTATAAAGGCGCTGGCCAGGCACGGTGTCTCATGCCTGTATTCCTGGCATATTGATTGGCTGAGGAGATAGAATTGCTTGAGGCCAGGAATTTGATACCAGCCTTGTCAACATAGTGAGACCCCATTTATACAAAAAACTTGAAGCATTAAAAACATTTAGCCAGGTGTGATAGTTCCAAACTGTTGTCTCAGCTATGCTGGATATTGAGGCAGAGATCACTTGAGCCAGGAGTTCTAGGCTGCGGTGAACTATGATCACGCTACTGCACTCCAAACAGGCAACCACGCAAGATGATTCAAAAATAAAATCTTTTATTATTCTTCACCCCTATAGTCTCTCCAGAACTTGTGCACTATGTAGCAGAAAGAATCAAACTCCCCAAGAGTTTGGTTCTTGCTCATGATTTGGTTTTCTGCTGCTTGGCTGCCCCGTCATGTCCCCATTTTGTATAAAATAAGAACCCCCCAGTGAAGTGGAGTTTCTCCCCAGCAGAGGGTCTCACCAAGGCCCCAAGACTGGCACTTTAGGTGGAGGCTTGCCTTTCAACCTCTGAATAATAATTGATACTAAAATTGAGAAGTTTTCCAGACACCAGCTTCCTGAAAGGAGCATCCAGTCAGAAGACAAGATGAGGTCAGTAGCGAAGGTGACTCAGGCTGAGTGGGGAAGTCCACCAGCGTATCTGAAGACTGAGCTAGGGGAGGGTTTCCCTAATGTTCACTCCTTCTGCCCTCCATATATTCCTCTACTTTTCCCAAACTTCCCTCTGACATCCTCCAAACTTTCTATCTTCCCAGGGCTTTCTTGCCAGGGAGTCTAATGAAGTAAAAGCTTTAAAATTGCTTTGATTTTAAAAATAATTTTATTGATTCTTAAAATGTACCGACACAAAATTAGAATACCAATTCTTAAAATGCTTAAAAAGTAAATTAAGTGTAAGTTTACATTTAATTATCTTATTTGATTCCTAATTAAAATACAAAAAAATTTTTTTTGAAACAAGGTCTTGCTCTGTCACCCAGACTGGAGTGCAGTGGTGAGATCTTGGGTTATTGCAACCTCCACCCCCTAGGTTCAAGCGATTCTCATGCGTCAGCCTCCCAAGTAGCTGGGACTACAAGCACACACCACCAATTGGCTAATTTTTGTGTTTTTAGTAGATATGAGGTTTTGCCATGGTGCCCATAGTGGTCGCAAACTCCTCGTCTCAAGTGATTCACCCACCTCGGCCTCCCAAAATGCTGGGATTACAGGTTTGAGTCAATACACCTGACCTTAATTTTTTTTTTAAATTATAGGTAAATTTAAATTACTCAGAAATAGTCAGAATTAACCGTTGGATACCCTGAATCTTTTTCCCATGCATAAGCCTTTCTAATCTTTCTATTCAAATTTAGGATTTGATTCGGTTCTAGTGTTTTAAAACCTGCTTTTTTCCTTCAAAGAAATGTAGACCATCTCTCAGGCCAATGGACATCACGGATTTTCTGATGCTTAGAGGCTGACTGGTTGTTTATCTATGACCTCCCATAATGTACTTAAGTAACACCCTCTTGATGATGGGGTTAAGTTGTTGAAATTACCTTGTTTTTTCTGAAGCACTACGTGGAAAATATTAGATCTTGAAAGAAACACATAAACCCATACCACACACTTCCTTTGAAATTCTCTGCTGGTTATTTAAAGAGATGTTTATTCCTGACTAAGGTCCTACATTACACTCTCTGTAGAACTTTTGGAAACGATAAAAGTACAAGACAATCAATAAAGCAATTTAATTTCTCACAGGATCCTGATTCCTATAAGAAACACATCAATTCCTATAATTCGGCATATTTCCTCTCAATCATTTTTCTACACATTTTAAATTTTGGGCTCTAATGTATAAGTTTGGTTATACTTTTTAATGTATGCCTTTCATTAATATGTTTAATGGTATATCATCTCATAAGCACTTCTCCATGTGATAAAAAATTCTTTGTACATCCCATTTTTAATACATATATGTAGCTCCAAAGAAAAAGCATATCTTGTTTACTCTTCTAATCCTGTAGTATTTGAAAACTTTGTTTTTCCAATTCTTTGAGATAATAAACTGGTTAGGGTTAGTATTTTGGTCCCCATTTAAATTTTCTAAGAGTTGCCTTTCTATAAGTGGCTAAGTGACTGTTACAAGGAGAAGAGCCCTCCTGAAGGGGTGTGCCATGGGGTTGAGGCCTCCCTGCAAAGTGCCTTCCTTGTGGCAGATCCCCATGTGTCTTTCTAAAATCAGCACAGTCAGACTGAGCGTGATTGGAATTCTGCAGCTGTGACCCCTCTCGAATCTTCCTTCAATTCAGATGCAACTAATCTCCTCCTTGGTGGACACCAGGAAGTAGGCTGTAGAGCATTCTGTGACCCTGAAGAATGACACGATGTTCTTGATGAAGAGGGTGGATATTCCTGAAGGAGAAATAATGTTTTCTCAACAGCAGAAGCAGATATCAAGTTTATTCAATGACTGGGTCATGGAAAATCCTGTTCTCTACAGGTTGATGCTACATTCCAGGCAAACCCACACCCTCGGTGTATGCCAGAGGCTTCAGAAACACAAAGGAGCTCATATGAGATGAGTGCCAGGTAGCTATGAAGCCTCAAGAACTTCCACTGCAACAGAAGATAATAACTTACTCTGAAGAATTGTTTGCATCTCCCTGCCCATCCCCTGGCTACTGAGTGCAACCATGCAACTCATTGCATGCAACTATAAATATAGCTACAACTATGAAAATAGCTGAGATTCTAAACCACAAATACAGACAACTACGAATATAGGTGAGACAAAAAACTGTAAACCTTCTTAAGGGTGTACAACATGTAACAACGGCTCCCATTAGCTCATGTTTAGATACCAAGGAAATAATAGCAGGAATGTTTTATGTTCACATTCCAAACAAAACCTATTATCATTCATCGTCAGTTCATTTAGTCCTGTTTTACTCATACTTGTTTTACTCTATCTTGTAAGCACATATGCTTCTCTGCTAGAATTAGAGAAATAAATTAGTCCACTGATAGTGTTTCAAAGTTATATAAGTCATTCTATCAGAAGCCTGTTTATAGGAGTACTTGGCACAGTTATTTCTGTGGGTCTCTGAGACATTCTTATTTTGTTGAAGACAAAGCCCTGTGGCCTGGAACTGATTTGCAAGCACTTTTAGAAAAATAGCCGAGTACAACCAAAAGTATATACTAATGAAAAAGTAAGCCATGCTTTCAGGTATGTAGTTAGTTGATACACTAAAATATTCTTTTATATAATGCAAACAGCACTAACACTTTAAAAAATAGAATTATATCATGCAGAGTGAGGGCACTGGAAATTTTTTAAAAAACTTTCATTTCTGGATTATTTACATTAATAACAATTATGTAAAAAATTTAACCTAGGGGAAGCTAAGCATATGTCTTATTATTTAATATAACAAGATGCAAAATAGGCAAGTTTCCATATATGATAGTAGGACATAAAGTGTGCTGATACAAATATGAAACATAAAATATAAGTAAGAAATAGAAAAAATGACCTGTGTATGTTGATTATTTATATGTGTGTTTATTACTATTTTTAGTAGCTTAGATTATGTAAATATGTATTATATTTTAGGCAGCAGCAAATATTAACATATTTTTTAACGTGCAGCTTAGATAAGAATTGATGATTACAATTTATTAATATTAGCTACTTACGACAAACATTATGCAAAAAGAAATTCTAAAAATAATTTTGTATTAACTTTGAAAATTTTAAACTCTTTTCTACAGAAGTTTTTTAATTACAGACAATAAAATAGAAAGTTTATAAAAAAGAAAATGCTACTGAGAAATAGTTGGATTTTGATTCATTATTTTTTCTGAATATTAGTACTTGGAGCTTCACTGTTAATAATGCCAATAGGCTACACAAATTTTCTCTTCAGTAAAATGGCAAAACAGAAGGCATTCAATTTTTAAATATACGATGCAATTTTATTACCGTTTTTCTATATAAAAGACACAAAATTTAGACCAATAAAAACAGAATTTCTTCCATGAAATTTCAAGAGCTGAGCTGAGCTGGGAAGAGCTAACCTGCTTAATATCAGAGTTTTAAATTAAAGCAAGAGGCCCACATCAAAGAAATAGTTACGCCTTTTTGTCTTCCTTTCTGTGATTGTGTTAAACAACAGGCAACATTAGATCAAGCACCGACTCCTAATTGTTCCATTTTTTCCTCATGGAAAAGCACCAGGAAAGGGTCAGATGGATCAGCACAAACATGGGGCACTGTCTCACTGCCGAGGTGGCACCCTCATAAAAAACAGGCCCGCAATTTTGTGGAAAAGGGGGTAGGAGAGCGTAGAGGAGAATGTATGAGCAAGATTAAAGAGAATTGAATATTAATAGGAATGTATGAAAATTATTATCAAAGTTCCATTTCTTCTCCAGAAACAGGGATCTGAACAAAAGTTTCTGAAGAAGGCCTCAACCAAAAGCCCCTCAGTTAGGTGCCCCTGAATCTAGATGCCTGGACTGGGAATGAAAATCTACATGTGAGCCTCAGTGGCCAAGATTTCCGGTATTGTTTATTTCAACCCCTCAGAGACTGCAATGCACTGACATTTACATGCTTCTCCTAAATGCACATGTCAGCAGCAGTGTGACAACCAATGCTTTCAAAGATATAATGTGGGTATCAGAGTTTCTGGCAAAAATTTAGATAATCTTATCTTTTCAACCTCAAATAACAATATATGCTGAGAAACTTCAAAGGCATGCACCTCCACAAATAATTTTTCAGGAAAGGATAAAGAAGCACAGCTGTAGGAGAAAAATTAGGCTGGAAGTTGATGCTACCTGTGGGAATTGCTAATAATGGAAGCACAGTTTGTTAGAATTTAACATGTCTGATTGGTGAATATAATGTCACAGCAGCATAGATGCAGGAGTACTTGGATCTGACTATGCTATCTAAAGCTAGAATCCTTACATTTTCAAAAGTTTAGAAAAATAGGTTAGTTAGTGGAGGTGGTATTTCTCCTCTTTGGTTGATTTGGGAATTAACACCAATCATCATATGAGTTTCTGGTTCATATGTACACTATGTGTTTTACTCAGGACAATTTAGGTAAATATATAGACTTAATCATTTTCAGGTGTCTGTAAAGGGTGCATTATTAACATTACAGATAACTTTTCATTGGAATAAAATACCTCGACCCAGAATCTTCTATGGCCCCATCAATTGAGGTCAGTCATTTATAATAAAATGAAGTCTACTATTCTTTTTAAAATATACAAAGTTAAAGTCATCAAGATCAAAGTTATTAAGAAATAAAATTATAAGAAAAACACAGCTGTACCATTACATCTTAATAAATCCCAAAATTGTATATATACTGTAGAAATAATATAAGTAGTTATAATGTTTAAATATATTAGAGGAAAAGTTTAAAAGTAAGATCAAAATAAGGTATATTATCAAAATAATTAGGTAAAAATTTTAAATTTAAAGGATAGAATACATAGAAAAATTACATAATTGAAAAAGAAATTATGAATTAGAAGATATGATGAAGTGAATATTTAGAAGTCCCAATAGGCATAAAACAAATAAACAATATGAAAAATTAAAATACATAAAAATCTAGAATAAGTCATGTTGTTTAAGTGCAAGTTTGAATAAATAAAATGGAGTGAATGTCAAATAGGGAATAAAAATATATAATTATTAAAATAATTAATTATAATAGCTTAAAGGCATTCTGATCAAAAGAAAAACAATAGTTAAAAGCATAATACCATAATAGAGAAAATCACGTAAAGCTATCTAAGATAAAATTCAAATTAATTATAAAGCAATGAAAAGAAACACATTTCTCAATATGTGAATAAGATCAAGAATCCAATAGGTTACGGTTTTAAAAGTTCTGAGGGAAAAACATGTAAATTTAAAATTACATATATTCGAAAAGTTATTTTCAGGTTTAAGGACAAAATGTAACTTAATACACAAATACAATGTAAACACTATAATTATGTCAGTGAAATGCATTTAAAATTTGCTGAAAATTTAGTTTATGAAGAAAAATACTCTTCCTGAGAACAAACATTGAGATAAAATAAATGTGCAAACATCTAAATAGATGGAAACTATGTTAACACTGTGTGAAATTATACACAATATGTGATATATCCATGTGAAGCATATTTATGGAAGCATAAAAGAAAATGTTATCCCAAGGGTTATATTAAATAAAAGAGTAAATTTGGTAATAGATGAATAACTTATTTTATATCAGTATAATGTGTATTTAAGAGGTTTTTGTCACTAAATTATTAAATATTGAGTGCAAATCCTATATACTGTTTGAACAATACTATTATTTTCTCAGCAAAGATCAGCACTGAAAGACTGATTCCTGCATAGCCACTGACCACAGCTTCTGGAACAACAAAAGCATTGAATCATTAATCCTGAATGTGGCCAATGAGCAAGAGATGAGGAAATCTACCCAGTTCATGACCACAAAGCAACTCACCAGCAGCTGGATGGCCTGGGTAGCTTATTTCTCTGGAGAGACTCTTAGACAGTGACTCCTGATACAGAGATGCTGAGACTGCATTTTGTGCCTGGAGGAGAGAATTACCACGTGTGATTTGAGAGCATCAGTGTTCCTCCAGAAGAGACATTTCTAAATGCTGCTAGTGTGAAAAATGAGCTTATGTTCACGTAGCCCCTGGGGGAAGAAAAACAGTAATATTTAACAGTACATTTTAAGAACCAATAAAATTATTTTTAAAATCAAAGCAATTTTAAAGCTTTTACTTCATTAGACTCCCTGGCAAGAAAGTCCTGGGAAGACAGAAAGTTTGGAGGATGTCAGAGGGAAGTTTGGGAAAAGTAGAGGAATGTACGGCCCACTCAGCCTGAGTCACCTTCGCTACTGACCTCATCTTGTCTCGACTGAGTGCTCCTTTCAGGAAGCTGGTGTCTGGAAAACTTCTCAATTTTAGTATCAATTATTATTCAGAGGTTGAAAGGCAAGCCTCCACCTAAAGTGCCAGTCCTGGGGCCTTGGTGAGACCCTCTGCTGGGGAGAAACTCCACTTCACCTGGGGGTTCTTATTTATACAAAATGGGGACATGACGGGGCAGCCAAGCAGCAGAAAACCAAATCATAAGCAAGAACCAAACTCTTGGGGAGTTTGATTCTTTCTGCTACATAGTGCACAAGTTCTGGAGAGACTATAGGGGTGAAGAATAATAAAAGATTTTATTTTTGAAACATCTTGCATAGTTGCCCTGGTTGGAATGCAGCAGCACGATCATAGCTCCCTGTAGCCTAGAACTACTGGCTCAAGTGATCCTCTGCCTCAATGTCCAGCATAGCTGAGACAACAGTTTGGAACTATCACACCAGGCTAAATGTTTTTAATGCTTCAAGTTTTTTGTATAAATGGGGTCTCACTATGTTGACAAGGCTGGTATCAAATTCCTGGCCTCAAGCAATTCTATCTCCTCAGCCAATCAATATGCCAGGAATACAGGCATGAGACACCGTGCCTGGCCAGCGCCTTTATAATGTTTTATTCTCCCAAGTTCTTCTCAAAAAAGTCAACATCCACCAAGTATCAGCTGAGATTTGAACTTCAACCCTGGGCTGAACTCAGTGGCAGGACTCTCCATTCCCAACAAGGGACAAATGGAGAAATAAATGGTGAGAGGGAGGAGCTTGATTCTGCCCATGCTAATTGGACACCTGTTGTGTGCTAGGAAGACACACAGAGGTCAATCCAAATTCCAGCTCCAGCCACAGCAGGACAGCCATGGTGTAGAAGGCCTAGCCCAGAGGAGGGAGCCTTAGCAATAGGAACACCCCTCCATGGAGTATTGACATTCTGTTACTTCAGTTATACTGAAAACTAGTAGAAGGTAAGAGATGTTGTACTCAACCATTATAAGCAAGAAAATCCATTCAATCTTCTTTAATTTGGTTAAAATTAGCCTTTATTAAAAGGCAGCACAGAGTAATGCTTGTCTGTGAGAATTTAAAAACATCATAGCAAACCACTCCGTTCTCAGTTTAAGAGGGAAGGCGAAAGGCTTGTGTGGGAGAATAAGAAAAAAACATATTTATGTAATACTTTGAGTTTCTATTGCTCCTAACCACCATTGCTACATAAGTATTCCAAAATATAGCTCTTCTTTATCCATCCTACTGTTAAAAAGTACCTCACTGATTTTGTAACCCCCAACTAATCCATCCTATAGTCCCTAGATGACCACAGAGGACTATTATCCTCTGCTTTTTACTGTCACTCTCCCCAGTCCAGCAAACTCATTCCTCTTTCTGCATAAGCCTCCTGTGTTTCTGCCCTTTTTTATCTGCACCCTCTGCTGAGATTCTTTTGTCTTCACCCATCCCAAAGCCATCCATACTTCCAATGCATTACTAGGGGTAATTATCTCATTCACCCAGCCTAATTTTTAAACTTACCTTCCTGATCCCACCCTCTCTTCACTCTGAACAAGATTTTACTAGGTTGTTGTTAAGTTCTGGGGTTCGGAGAATCTGACTAGTGTGAGTTTCCCAAGGTAAAGGTAATGCCTTAATAATTTTCACTTTAATTGCTCTTTGCGCAGTGTTTTGCACAAAATTTAACACAATAATTGCTCCCGGAGTAAATGCATAAATCTTTGTAATATCCTATTTGGCTCCCTTAGAGTCTGAAACTTTTCCCCTTCAACCATCCAGAGTCCTGTCTAACCAAAGTGAAAATGGGGAACTCCCTCTTTCTGGCTGGCATCACTGCTGAGAATGGAAATAAATGCTGTCTATGCCAACTCCCTAGAACAAGTATAGGTTTCATCTAGACTAGTTTTCAAAATGAGGAAACAGGATGCAGACAAATACTTTATTCCCACTTTTTGGCCTGGGGTTTATTAACAAGGTGAAATTATACAGAAGAATAAATTAGTTTAGCTGAGAAAAGAAAAAATGTATAGTTAATGGAGGGAAAAAATTGAAAATGCAATAAAACCAGAAGATGTTCAGGAATTCAAAGTAGTTGATGCATAGAAATGCTACTGATTTTTGTACATTGGTTTTGTGTCCTAAAACTTTACTTGCTTATCCGTTTCAGGAGGCTTTTCAAGTTTTCCCCAAAAGTAGTTTTGGAGAGGCTTTAGCATTCTCTACGTAGTGACTCATATTGCAAATGGAGAAAGAGAATTCAATTTCTTTTTCTATTTGTATGCCTTTTTCTTTTCTATTGGCCGATTGCTGTGGATAGGACTTTTAAATCTAATTAAATTGTATTTGTTAGATTTTTGTATATTTTAATATGTCTCCAATTAATTTTATATCTGTATAATGTCCCCTTATAAAGGAATATGTAGCTGTTTTATTTAGTTATTTTATTATTGATGCACATTTGAGTTTTTTTCAGTTTGGAAAAGTACCAAATAATGCTACTTCGAGCACTTTACTACATTGGAAAATATGCTGGCAATTCTATTGGGTGTATATACCTAGTAGCAGAGTTGCTGGGTTCTAGAGTGTGCTTATGTACATCGTGTATGTAAGGAGTTACTACTCAAGTGGTTTTGAATGTGGTTATAACAGTTTGCACACAGAATGGTATAAGAAAGTTCCAGTTGCTTGACATCATCACTAGTACTTAATTTTGTCAGTTTTCAAAAATGTTAATGATTGCATAGTGGTATTCAATTGTAGTTTTCATATGCATTGTTCTGATGCATAAGAATGTGGATATGTTCATCTACTTGTTGGCCCTTCGGTTCTGTATGTGGAACTCCTAGTCATATCTTTGCCAATTTTGTTCAATGTATGCATCTTTGTTTATTAAGTGATGGGATTTAGCTTAATAATCTAGATAAAAAGCTTTTGCCAGATCAATATATGACAAATGTTGATTTCCACTTTGTTCTTGCCTTTCAGCTCTCCTGAAGCTTTTTTTTTTTATGAAGAGAAGGTTTTAATTCTAATAAAGTCCAATTTGTCATATTTTTGTCTTGATAATTTATGCATTTTGTGTCCCAAGAAATCTTGGCCTGTGCCAAAGTCATGGACATACTTATCTATGTTATCTACTAGAAATATTGTTTTCAATTTTCACCTTAAAATTTAAAATCCACTTGTCTCGAAATTTGTTAACAATATAAGATAGGTTCATTTCTTTCTCACATAAATAACCAGATGACCCAAGGCTAATTACCGAGATGCTGTCTTCTCTCCACTGCTCTTCTGTGCCTGTTTTGTAATATACAAAATGTCTAAATGTGTGAGTCTGAGTTGGACTCTCGAGTTTTTCTAGTTTTCTTTGTGCCTATTTTTTCATTACTACCATAGATAGCTTTTATTACTATAGCTTTAATCTAAGTCTGAATATATGGCATTGTAAGCTCACAAACTTTGTCATTCTTCAGGACAGTTTTTACAGTTCTTTGATTTTTTAATATGTATTTAAAATTTTAAACTGATTAGACAGTTTCCACAAGATTTCTGCCAAAATATTGTATTGTGAAAATGGAAATCAATAAATCAATTTGGGGAGAAACACTAATAACATCTAAACCAAACTTAAAGAGAACACCACAATAAGAAAAGAAATTGCAAAATTGGAATAAATATTTTCAACACATGAAATTACAAAGGGGCTCATGTTTCCATGAAGAGCACTCTCTCTCTCCCTCTCTCTCTCTCTCTCTTTTTTTTTTTTTTTTACAGAGACTCACTCTGTCACCCAGTCTGGAGTGCAGTCGTGCAATCTCGGCTCACTGCAACCTCCGCCTCCCAAGTTTCAGCAATTCTTCTGTCTCAGCCTCCTGAGTAGCTGGGGCTACAGGCTTGGGCCACCATTCCCCGCTAATTTTTTTGTAAGTTTAGTAGAGACGGATTTTCACCAGGTTCGCCAGGCTGGTTTTGAACTCCTGACCTCAAATAATCCACCTGCCTCATCCTCCCAAAGTGTTGAAATTACAGGTGCGAGGCACCAGAGCTGACCTGTAA
Source organism: Homo sapiens (assembly GCF_000001405.40). Lineage (NCBI taxonomy): Eukaryota > Metazoa > Chordata > Mammalia > Primates > Hominidae > Homo > Homo sapiens. The sequence continues at coordinate 119,555 of NT_113901.1, forward strand.
AGACCTCTTAAAAATTAGTTAAAAAACAAACAAAACAGAAAAGGAGAAAGAAGAAACATCCACTCATTAAAAAAAAAAAAGAAAAAGAAAAGAAAAGAAAAAAAGGCAAAAGACATTATTTTACAGGTCTAGTGCCCTGTGCCCCTCACTGTAATGGGGGTGGATATGGGCTTCACAGGACATGAAATTCATCAAACAGTTGCTGGTTGAAGGTGGGAAAATCTTGCGGGACCGACCTCAAGAGCAGATCCTGTGGTGCACTGTTTCATCCTGTAGCCCTGGAAAGAAAACCTGGCTGTGCCGTGCTTTATGTTTGCCTGCACTGGCCCTGTTCAGAGGCCTGAGCACGCATGGACACCTAAGTCTGCCCAAACTTTCCCCATCCCAATATTCTCTGTGGTATTGAGCATGACACCCTGTCTTCACTGAGCATGTGCTCATACAGTTTTGTAGCCAACTCTTCATTTTACAACAGGAAGACTGAGACCTCCCAAAAAGGCAAAGACTGGTCCAGATCCCAGAAATTGGGCAGAGCACAGAGTATTAGGGAGGGATCCAGCTTCCTAGGCCTTGCATGCACCCCACCCATCAGGTTTGCTTTGGAAATGAGAGCCCATGAGTCCTGGAAAACCCTGTGCTCTACTTTCTACCTGGGCTTTCTACTCTTCAATGTTGTCACATAGGCGTGCAGGCATGCACACACAAACACATCACACACACACAGGCTTCTAAAGTGGAGATCTAAAGTGGAGATTCTAAAGTGAGGTTAGGGAAGAGGAAACCAAAGAAGTGACAAAAGGGGAAGAAACAGTAGATGCAGCTTTGCCATGAGGCAGAGGCATCCACTCCCCCAGCTACATGACCAGGAGCTGACAGCATGCGATGAAGGATCCTCCAGGTTCCCTGGGTTCTTCCAAGCCTGGGGACTTTCCCAGCTGTTTCAAGAGGACAGGACTGGGGTTGTGACTCCCACTTCTGTGGGCACCTGGAACTAAAATGAGCTATGCCCTCCACCCACCACCCCGTGTGATATAAAGACAGGCTACGGGAAAGAAAGCCTTTGTTTTCTCCCTCATAAATAGGGGTACTGAGAAGGAATAATACCAAGGATTCTAGATACTCATAGGTGTCTGCCGCCCTTGGCTTTTCATTGGTAAATCACTGTGCTTTGAGACTCTGGGAAGAGGCTTTTCAGTTTCTAGAGGTCCTTCAGAGAAGAGAGAGGCCTAGAGACTTGGGCGGATGAGGACTTGGAATAAAGCACAATGTGACAATGCACTGGGCTCTGGAGTGTGGGGCCCAGAAAAAAATACTAGTTTTTTGGGCTGTCCTTGAGGTCCTCATTCGGAAGTGGAAGAAAATAATGTCGCCGAATGCTGTTAAAATGTTTAATGAGTGCACAGCACACCCAACGAGGCTGAGGAAAATAGGAATCAAGGGAGGCTTCCGAGGTCACTTTTATGGCCCTTGGAGCCTTCAGATACTGCTCCTTTTCCCAGGGGTCCCTGAAGAGCCACTGCCTTGAGAATTCCCCAGTGCAGGTACCTGTTTTGTGATGCTTCTGCCTGGGACTTCAGTGCTAGCGGAGGCCTCTAGGTGGCGGCAGACCCCGTGTTTCTTGTGCCCGCTGGACTTTACTGGAGTAGCTGGAGCCGGGGGAGAGACAGGCTGAGGGCCTGCAGCTCCTGTTATCATTCTTGATCTCCACATTATTGGGTGACCGAAAGCAGGAAAGACTTTGTGATTTTCCATGTTATTTTACTCAGCGGCTCTTCCCCTAGCACTCACCCTGTGGCAGCTACCTTGGTAGGTTCACCATGTGGTACCAAAAACGATTATGTTATCCCTGCATCCCCGCGGGGAGCCTACAGTCTGAGGACTGCAGGACAAAAACACTAAAGCAAGTACATGCGAAAGAAAAGAGCATTTTATAATGGAAATAAAGTAGAATGTTGGGAGGGAGGGCTGGAGAGAGGTTGCCTGGAGGGGACATGAATACCTCACTGAGCTGGCATTATGTTGTGATGAGAATGACAACTGCGCAGGTGTGGAAAGTGTGTCAGGGAAAAGCCACTCTTTGTGAAAAGACTCAGAGGCACAAGTCAGTTTAGCAGAGGAGGTTATAACGGGACAAGTGTGGCTGCAGGCAGCCTGAGAAAGAAAGGAACAGAGGGGAGGGTGTATCCTGGGGCCTGAAAGAGGAGGTTAGTCATTTGCCCGTCTGTGACAACATTGCTCTGAATTTTAGCACATTTTGACAACAAATACTATCTCACAACTTTTGTGAACCAGAATCTCGATATAGCTTAGTTGGGTGCCTCTGCCTCAAGGTCCCCTATGAGGCTGGGACTGTGATTTCAACTGAAGCTGGATTTGGGGAGAGATCAGCCTCCAATCTGCCTCATGGAAATTGGCAAGATTCAGTGTGAACTGAGAACCCCAGTTTCTTTCTTTTGATTGGCCTGGGCAGTTCTTCAGTTCTCTATCATGTGGGTCTGTGCCTAGAGCATCTTAGGACACTGGAGATCGCTTCCTCATCTTGAGGATTACAATACAGAGATGGAAAATGAAAGAGATAGACAGACGTATGCACAGAAAAAGAGAAAGGGAGACAGAGAGATTGAGAGAGGACGCACAGGACAGAGCAAGTGGGAGGAAAATAATAGCTGTTTTAGAAATATAACTTTGGAAGTTGCAGTAGACTATGTGATTCCCCACCATATTCACATTCCAGAACATTAATCCCCAGTGTAATGGCCTTAGCAGGTCAGAGGTAATTAAGTCCAAAGCATGAGGACCTCATGATAGCGATTACCGGCTTTGTAAAAGAAACTGCAGAAGGCTGTCTCTCCCTCTCTCTGCTAAATGAGAATACAACCTGAAGTCTGGAGTTTGAAACTCACAAGAGAGTCCTTACCAGACCCCAACCATGCTGGAAGCCTATCTCAAATTTCTAGCCTCCAGAACTAAATTCTTTTGTTTATAAGTTGCCTAGTCTATGTTTTTTGGTATAGAAGTCTGAACTAAGTCAGAAGTGATAACCTATCACATTTGTTGTATTCTCTTTGACAGAAACTAGAAACAGGTCCCCAAAGAGTTCAACCAATGACTAGCAGAAATTCTTCAGTTTGCAGAATGACGGATAAGAAAAGATAGAACTTGTCGAAAGACTGAAATTTATTCCACTTATGAGACTTCTAAAAAGTGGCTAAAATTGGTCGGAACCAATATGGTCAACTAGAGTCTGTGTGAAATAAGCTCACTGATGTAAGAGCCCAAATTTCCATCACATGTTTTGTACTAACTGTCCCCAAATTTGCACATGACCTGTGTGTAGCAAGAAAAGATGGCTGTTCATGCCCAGTGACTTTCCATACATTTTTCCTTTCAGCAATTCCCTGCTAAACAAGAAGCCACCTCCTAAACCTTTCTGAGAATATTACTACCTTTAAGTAAGCACAGGGAAAGAGGCTTCAGCTGGAATCCAATGTCTTTGTTGGAAACCCGGTGTTATAGTATCGGCTTCTGAGGCACTGAGCGGTGAGCTGCGTTTTTAAATAACAGAGTCACTCACAACTTAGTGTTGTTGTGAGACTTTGTTGGGGGTGCCCACCACATAGGCTGAGATGAGGCATATACATGTGATTCCAAATATAATGCACAGCACTGGAATATTTAATGCCAGAAGACAGTATCTGATTTTCTTTTGATTTCAACCTCTTCTGCTGTAGAATGGAAAAATAAGGCCATATATATAAAATATATATCTTTTATGTATACAGATATATGAAATATGTATCTTTTATACATAAAGGTGTATATGTATAAGTTTATATATTATATATAATATATAAATATATTATATATATATACATATATTATATATATATATATATATATATATATATATATATATATATATAGTATATATATTTTTTTGAGACACAGTCTCGCTCTGTCACCCAGGCTGGAGTGCAGAGGCACGATCATGGCTTAATGTAATTTCTGCTTCCTGGGCTCAAGTGATTCTTACACCTCAGCCTCCTGAGTGGCTGGGATTACAGGCATGCATCAACACACCTGGCTAATTTTTGGATTTTTAGTAGAGAAGGGTTTTTGCCATGCTGGCCATGGCTGGTTTCAAACCCCTGGCCTTAAGTGTTCCACCCGTCGCCTTGGTCTACCAATCTGCTAAGATTACAGGCAAGAGCCACTGCATCCAACTGATTTTGATTCATTCTATCTCATATATCACCAAAGACTGTTTTTGGAAGTTGATGTTAGCATAATCCCATTATGCATACTTCAGGGCTGGGGAGACCGGAAGCACACAGTCATTTTCATATGGTCACAGAAATGAAAAGGAAAAGAAGATTTTAACCCAACTCTGTTCTCTCAAACCTGGGGCCCTGGCTGTATTTAGATCTTTTTGGGGAGTAAGGGGCATAATTGTGTTTGCATAACTGTTTACAGGAAAAGAGTTGACATGGGAGATTAGGGTGAGCAATCAGCAGCCCAGCAGGGCCTTCGCATAGATTTATGGAGGAAAAGTGCTCAGGGGATAAAACCTTGAAGAAGTTAACAGACTTCCCTTGTGACAGAACCTAACAGAATTTAGAACTTTGGGAACCAGACACCCACATTCTAGAGACAGCCCTGTATCTAGCTAATTTCATGGGAGATGCTTGAGAGATCACTGTGTTCTCATTGTGTGCTATATTCCTAATCTGTTGCCTGAGAAAGGCTCAAAGTGAGAGCTTTTTCTGGCAATATACATATTGGATCAGCCCACATCCTTGATACCACTGGCCATTCGACAAGAGGCAAACACAGGTAACACAGTGAAGCCCAGGTCAGGTCCGTCCATGCCAGGCCAACCGTCTCATCTAATCTGGGCAACCCGACCCTGCCTACCATTATCATGTGTTGCAGGGGGAGCAGGAAAGGAGGGGGCTCTTTCTCACAGGGGCAGGTTGTAAGGCATTGGAACCCTGGCAGGTATGTCATGTTCGTACCCAGGTCATGGCTGGTGGAATAAAAAGTTGAGCATTGTGGACCAAGTGTGTCTACTCAGATGTGAATCCCAAGGCCTTAAGCTGTCCTCGGGTTTCCTCATTGGCTGGGGGTCTATGCAGATACTCCTATGTTCCTGATCTAGGAAACAGAATTTCTAATGGAGATGTCACCTGGTGGTAAAAACAAAGGAGATAATTAATTTTTTTTCTTTTTTCTTTTTTTTTTTCTGCTTCGCTGCTGGGAACACTCTTTGTAGAGTTTCATTGAAATCATTGAGCAGATATTTGATGGGTTCAAGTCCCCCATCTCCTTGGACAACTGGCAGGTTCACCACACCCCCAAGCATGGCATACAGTGAGTTACGGTGAGAGCAGGCACATGGGGGTCTCTACAGACAGGGATCTGACAAAACCAGGATGGGCCCAGGATCCAGACCCAAATATGGAATTTCTCTGGGCTCTCTCTTAGGGGATTTCCATGAGTGACCCAAAGATCTGCCTCCCAAAAATCTAGCCTTAACTAGTCCCAAAGGCAGCTTGGTTAAGTGTAAAGTCCCTTTTTACATTCTTGTAGAAATATCAGAGAAGGCCTTTGTGTTGTTTTTACTTTACACTAGGCTGTATTTATTCATGTTACTACAGTTTGTATGGTTTTAATTTTTCCCCCCTGGTATCACCTGTAGCAGGCAGCTTCATGGCACTGCCAGACCTTCCCCAAGACTTCAAAGCCACCACTATCACTAATACTCTAGAAAAATAGGGAAGAGTTTACATGAAAAGGGGGTTATATTGTTCCCTGCATTTGTCTGCAACGTGTCATCTCAGAGAACACATCCCTCTAGCCCATCAGGGCAGAAGTGGTGCCCTCACATCTCTTTGTAATGTTCTATAATGGGGGTCACTTCCCAGAGTGGTTTAGCCTTTCAGTGACTATTATTTCTGATCAAAATGGAATAAAACTAGAAATGAATAACAGATGAAAACAAAAATAGCAACATATATATGGAAATTAAACAACTCACTTTTGAGCATGCTCATGTTTAAGGGTTGTAAGACTTGATATTATGAAGAATGCTCATGATGCCTAAAGCGAGTTACAGATTCAATGCAATCCCTTTTAAATTAGCAATGTTTTTGAAATAGAAGAAGGAACCAACAAATTATATGGAATGTCAAGCGACCATAAAGAGCCCAAAAATGTTTTAAAAAAAAACAATGTTAGCGGCCTCAACTTTTCTGATTTCAAAGCACATTACAAAGCAACAGCAATGAAAACAGTTTGTTTCTAGCATAAAGACAGACAATTTTTCCAATAAAACAGAAGGTAGCACACATGTAAACCTCACACATATGAGCAAATAGCTATTTGCATACCAATATTCATTGCAGCATTATTCACAAAGGCCAATAGGTGAAAGCAACACAAACTTTCCTCATAGAATGAATAAATAAATATAATTTGTAATACAAAAGTAATGGAATATTACTCAGCTTTTAAAGGCAGAAAATCTTGTACCATCCACAATAAAGAGAAATCTTGAGAACATGATGCTAAGTAAAATTAGTCACAATAAAACAGATACTCTATGATTCTACTTATATGTAATATCTAAAGTATTGAAACTTAGAAACAGAAAATAGAATGATTTTTATCAGGAGCCAGGTTGTAAGGAAAATGGGTAGTTGTCATTTCATGTGTCCTGAGTTTCAGTTTTGCAAAAGAAAAAAGTTTTACAAATATGTTGCAAAGCAATGTAAATACATTAACATGACTGAACTGTATAAGAAAAAATATTAAAGATTCTAAATTTTATGTTATGTATTTTTACCACAATCGAAATTAAAAATGACACCCAAGGGCCAAGAGAGATGGCTCATGCCTGTAATCTCAGCACTCTGGGAGGCTGAGGCATGCAGATTACTTGAGGCCATGAGTTCAAGACCAGCCTGGCCAACATGGTGAAACCCCAGCTCTATGAAAAACACAAAAATTAACCAGGCGTGGTAGTGCACACTTTTAATGCCAGCTACTCAAGAGGCAGCAGCTGGAGAATTGCTTTAACCTGGGAGGTGGAGGTTGCAGTGAGCCAAGATTGTGCCACTGCACTTTGGCGACAGGGTGAGAGTCTGTCAAAAAATAAATAAATAAGTAAAGACACCTGAAGAGAGAGAGTTACAAAGTTTTTGAAAAATTATCTTCAAATCGCATAAGTCTTTCTTTCACACTAGGATAATATAAACAATAGATGTTGAAATTAAGACAATTTCCATGATTACTCACTTAGACAGAATCAATTATTGTCCATCAAACAAGAAGAAAATAACACAAGTCATAAACAAAATAGGGGCAATATTTATACAAGCAAACAAACAATTAAATCATTATATTAACAAAAGACCATAGGGATGGTTCATATTTTTTGCCTCACACTGTCTTAAGCTGTACAGATTTGAATATTGTCATAGAAAATTATATTATATAAATTCAAACTAAAAACAATAAACTGATGTAAGGTGCCCTACCCTAAAACACGAAACACAGAAATGCAAAATTGCAAAACAAACTTAAAAGAAACCTTCCCCGAATTCTTACTTGAATAATGTAATTCAAAATCATAATAAATAGGTAGAAAGTAAAAACACAATTAACTGCTGTGAGACAGCCTACTCTAAAAAATACAGAAACATAAATTCTAAAACATAATTAAGAGAAACTTTGATCTATAAAATCCTGAATAAACATAGTGTCCAACTGAAAAAGAATCCTAGGTAACTACAATTTTCAACTCTTCCTTTGAATCCATAAAAAGTATAAATTTTGAATTATTTGGATACAATTAGGGCAACAACATTTCAAAGAAACCATATTATAATTATTAAAAAGAGATGTGATGAGAAAGTTTTAAGGAATAAAAATTTAAGTAATACTAGAGAAAGTTTTAAATTATGCTACTGATGCATTGCTTCTTTCCTTACACAAAAGGGTAAGGCTGTAATCTAGCCTTTAATAGAAAGGTCTTACATTTTTACATATGGTAACAATATAAATATTGTAAATACAGTATAAAACATTGACAGATAAAATAAAAACTGGAAATAAATTGTACTATTAGTCAAATAAAAGTTGGGAAAACTGGAAGAAAATGCTAATAGTAATATTGTGCCTAGAGTCAATTAAACATACAAGCCAAATATTTTAATAATTAATTATATAATTGATACATAACATATACATTTGAGCATGCTGTTTTACAACTTCTCAAACTGAAATTACAGAAAAATGTGACACATGATCATTCAGAAAGTGAAAACACAGTCATAGTAATCTTCATATTAAAGAAAACAGAATCATAAAATAATAAGTGAGAAATAAGGTAATAATTGTGAATTCAATATATGTTGAACAATATTCTAATTTCCCTTACGGAAAAAGTTTTTGTAAGAAATCTGTAAAATGAGTACTTACAATAAACCATCCTACAGTAGAGGCTGTTGGCATACAGTGTTTAAATTTCTATGATTAGGTCCTACTAAAGAAAAGAAAATTTTAAAATAAAATAATTAGATTTTCCTATTTAATAAGATAATTTTTGCCTATAAAGTTTTTCAGTCTAATTTTTTTGTAGAATTAGGTTTTAGCCTTCATAAAACTTGACATTATGAAGCAGAAAACAGGTGTCATCTGTCTCTGTTGTTCCTGGAATTTCTAACCCAAATGCCAATTCCTCCACAACTCCCCTCACACACTTCTGAATTGAAGCACAACAGATTTATTAAAAATGGCATAACAGCGGTGTCCAGAAATGTGCAGAGATTTTCCCAGATCCCCAAAAGCAATGACAAACTATTCAGATCATTTAGGTTCTCACAAGATTCTGGGAGGACTTCGGCTTTCAGTGTGAATGCACTGGAAGATTCTAAGAGAGAGGGAGAGAGAGAGAATGTGTGTGTGTGCTTGTGTGTGTGTGTGTGTGTGTGTGTTGAAATCAGAACTCCACCTTATGTGTTTATTGTGGAATTTGGAAATGAAAGCCTAAAGCCCAAAATTAAAATCACACATAATAGCACGTTGCAAACTGTTTTCTGTGCTAGATGGGTCGTTCTAGGGTGTAGGACCCTGGTAACACCGTTTTCCCCTCCTTCCGGAAAGAGCTACTCACACTGCTCAAAGCCTGCATCCACATGTACCATGTCAAAGACCAGCTCAAGAGCCTGGACCCATATGCCACCTTCAGCAGGGTTGACTGCAGCTCCTTGTTCTTCCTGAGCATCTTCTCCAATGGTGACCTGAGAGTTGCGGGAGGCATTGGGGCCAGGATTGAACAGAGGAAAAAGGAGCATGGAGGCCAGGTGCTGAGGACCAGGCCATCTTACCTGGAGAGTTCTGGCCCTGAGACATCCAGACCAACATGACGTTTAGGTGCAGACAGCTGGCCCTGGGTGGCCCTGTGCTGATCACCGGCCTCGGCCCCTCAAACAGTGGGAAATGGAAGAATGGCTTGGAAATGGGTCCTGTCGACTGTGTGTCATCTGAGCACATTCTCCCAGGGGCCCAAGAAGGGCCATCGTGTCTCCAGAACCAGAACTGGAAGGTAAACTGTCAGGGGGGACAAGGAAGAGGGTCCTCAGTTGGGTGGAGGGTCTCACAGCAAGACGCCTGGCTTAATCAAGCTTGGCCATTCCTGAAGCACGTTCAGTGACTAAAAGTGCCTACCATGAGCAGCTGGAACCCACTCCCTGAGAGCTGCAAGATCCATGGGGACCTCATGTACCTGTTTGTAATTACAGCCAAGGACCAGCAGGCAGCATTACCGCATCCACATGGGGCTTTTGCTGGACACAGTAAGTCTCTGCCAGCCCCTCCCAGGCTCCTGGGATGCCACTTGTTCTGGATCTGTGGACAGATAACCAGGATACTTGCTCAGTGTCCATCCACTCCTTGTGGTCTGAAGCCTATCGCTCAACCCTAGCCCCACCAGACCTGCTTCCTAAGGCATTCCTCATGCCAGAAGGAAAGGCAATGACTTTGTCCCACAGCCCCTGCCTTGTGTCATGTCATGTGGGGGTATGGAATGAATCGGCAGCCGAAACTCCTGTCCTTCTGCCTGAGAATTCTATCTTCTCTGTCTGAGTTACCCTCTAGGGAGCTGTCAGTGGGAGAGAGAGCAGCTGTGGAAGAGAGTCCCACCTGCTTCTGTTTGACTTCAGGGCAGCCTCTCAGGGCAAGAACCCAGAGCAGGTGGAGGCCTCAAAGAAGCCTGTGGCAGGGCTCTGGGCTTGATGGGCTGAGCATCTCCCTATCTGCTGCCTGCAATGGGGCCCAGAACCATCCATTCAAGAGGGTCACCACCATATTGCAGGTGTGCAGCTGGACGGTTCCCAAGGCAGAGGCTGCCATGGACTGCAAGCACACAGAGGATGTACACCTTGAGGGTGGACTATGAGGAGAATATTTTTGAAGAGGTGCATGCAGCCTGGCCCTGCCTTCACTGGGAACCCCCTTCCTTCTGGGTACTAGACAGAATTCTGTACACTTTCCTGGAGGCTCCATTCTGGTCTGTTCATTTGGAAGTTTCAGGCTGTCTGTGAGGAAGTAACAAAAGAGATGTCTCAAAGCAGGTTGTGGGGCACAGGCTGAGAGATTTTCTCCCTCCCTAGTCCCTCTGCAGGCACGGGGCTGGAAGAAGGACCTGTGGATAATGAGGGAACTGCTCTTCGAGAACCGGCCTGAGCAGCTGCTTCAAGAAAGAGCCACATTAAAGGTGCCTATAGCCCCTGATGAGGGAATGGCAGCCTCAGGCCCGCCTGCCATCTGTGAGCAGGTTTTCTTGCTAACAGGATGAAAGCAAAGAAAGCTGGAATGAGCCCAGCCCTCTCAGGCAGCTTGAAGGCTGTTGGGGTTCTTTCCAGGCCTTCTAGCCTTCTGCTTCTTGGCAGGCCACTCAGGCACCTTTTTCCAGCCTCTGAGACTTCCATGCTCTGGAAGGAGAGGGTCCCACTTTTCACTAGGTTATGGGGCCGGGCCCATCCAGCTCCCCGCTTCCACTAACAACCATGGGGCTCTCACCTGGGCACACACTGCCCAAACATGGCCCTTCTAAGGCAGAAGATCATGTGTCTTGCAGTTTCAGCTTGCTAGGGCTTAAAAGTTATCAGTGCTGTTATTAAGATAGGGAAATGAACGGGGAAAAGATGCTTTAAAAAATTTCCCATAATCATACCACGGAGATCATCAGCACAGATGACAGCACAGGCGGGGCTGCTGGGGAGGCTGAGGGAGAGTGTCCAGCCTGTTCTGCCAGCTGACTCTTGCCAGGGGTGCCTCTTGATACAGTCCCTTAGAGAAGCATGCAGACATCTCAGGAAGGACCTGGAAGGTGCAGATCAGGGCAACCCAGCACTACTGACGGTGGAGTGGGCCTACCTCCCATCAAGCTGTGTCTCCACAGCTGACCCTTGAAGCCAGGAGGTGATTTACAACATGTGCAAGGCAGTGAGCTCCATCAGCTCTGTGGCCTTCAACATTCACTTCAACTCAGACATCTCACCAGAAAGCAGTGGGGACTGGCCAATGCAGAAGCCTGCAAAGTGGAACAGAGCGTCATGGGGTGGGGGATGTGGGGCCTGCCTGCTCATCTGAGCACTGCTCCCTGAGGGTGTGATCTGCAGGCTTCCTGAAGGAGGGCTGTGAGCTCATCAGGGAGGCCCTGAGCCTGTGGAACATGGCTGAGGCCAAGCCCATGGGGATTTGTGTCTACTTGCACCTCCTTGCTCATCTCAGTACACTACAGGTGACTGTGCCGAGGTGGGCCTTGAGCATCTCCTGGGCTGTGTTAGCAAAGGGCTCTGGGCCTGGCCTGGCATTGAGGGATGGCAAATAAGGGGCCTGGGGTTGCATTGTCACCCCCTATGGTAGCATAAAATGAGAGAGTCCGACCTGCAGGACTGGAACCCTATCAAGGGGGTTAGGAGGCTGCTCACTTTCCCTCAGGGACCCATGTGGAGGAGCTGAGGGAGGTTAAGGAGACCCTAGGGACTCACTTGTTCTGTCTGGGCTTCCCTCTGCTCCATCGTTTGATGACCATTTTCTGGGAAGAGCTCAGGAACCTCCTGTGCTCTGGTGAGATGGGGCCTCCCCTCACAGGGTATTCTGAGACTGTGAGTGAGAAGCTAACACAGTGCCTTGCAATACTCACGGGAGCTGTCATCCTCTGTGACCATCACGTGGCCTTGTAGTGTTCAGACTGCCTGGCCTGCCTGGGGTTTGGTGAGGCTGTTTTGTGGTCAGCTGCTTTAGAATCTCACTTTCTCTGCAATCAAACAGTGACTGTCTTTGTGTCTGTTTATGGGTTTAAAAAATCCTAATATTTCATTTATAGTAGTTTCAGCTTGCATGTGTTTATTTGTATAAATTTTATTAGAATAAAGAGAGCTTAAGACAACAGCATTTTAAGGTCTTAATGAGGCATAGACTTTCATGTCACAACAGCTATTGTTGACCTCTGTTTGCTACCTTTATGTAATGTATACACATAAAGTACAGCCAGAGGTGACTAGAGCTGAGCTGCTTGGGCTTGCTTGCTGGCCTACAGTCAGGTGGACTCTGGCTGTGAGGCGGTGCCCACCCTGGATCTACATCCCCCACCCTCTCTCCTTAGTCCCTGAGTAACCAACAAGGCCGTGCTAATGAGCAGGCAAGTGATGGGCATAGGGTACCCCAATACTATCTGGGAAGATTTGAATGCCATCTGGGCTGGAGCTGTTGGGATTAGGGTCTGTGGCTGCCTTGGCTTGTCATGGTGCCACCCACAGATGTGCCTGCCCTGTGCTGCTTCTCCAGCAACCGGCTGCCCATGGCCCTGAGCCTGTCACACCATTCTTGCTACCTCATACTGCTTGTGTTTGAAAAACCCATCCAGAGATGGCATTGCTGGATGTGAGTGCTGAAAAGGGGGAAGCACCTTTGTCCTGGGGGATTAGGAGCTGACCAGATTCCTCCTGACTCCCTCCCAGAACAAGTGGGGCAGGTGCTGCAATTAATGATGCCCCCCAGAAGATGTGTTTACAGTGGCTAAGCAAATACACTATGCAGAAACCTAAATGAAGACACGTGAATGGGGTGTATGGACATCAGTTAGCAACTGGGAAACAGGTGCCTCTCAGGCCTCTCGTGCTCCAGCAAGTGTGGAATATGCCTGTGCCCATGAGTGTAGACATCTGGAGTGTATACATTTGGCTGCTGCTTTTGCTGCCACTATCCCCAGGTCCAAACTGGCTTAAAGTCCAGGTTTTAAGTAAAAAAATGGGAGGCTTTTTGCCATACAGCTACTTGAGAGGCTGAGGTGAAAGCATCACTGGAGCCTAAGAGTTTGAGGCTGCAGTGACCCATGATTCAGCCACTGCACTGACACAGTGAGACCTGCGTGTGCCTTTCTACAGAGAATACTTCTGGGGCATTTGGGGATCCCTACAGTCCCGGACCCTCCCTGTCCCCTGCTGCCTGTGCTTCTTCCCTTGCCTGCTGTCAGAGCCTAACATGGAGGAGGAGGTTGCTGCCCTGTGAGCCTGAGGGAGCTGTGTCTGACTGGGGCTTCTGTCTGGGGTTTTGCGAAGAGCTACTTATGAATATGGTCTGTCCAGATACCTTGTTTCAAAGGAAGTGAGCATGAGGTAGCAAGTGTAGCCACCCCACAGCTGATAAACAACTTTGTCTTGTTTTTAAATCATCAGTCTTCATTTCACATTGGAATAAAGTAATTGAAACATGCTACCCCAGCCTCGCCCGTGTGTTCTGTAAGCCAGACTCATTTCGTTGTGTGGGCTGTTGTCAGAAATGTTATAAAAAAATTATGCATAAATAAGATCAAATGTAAAAGTATGCTTATAATGTCACTTGAGTGTGTGGTAAGAGGGTAGAGTCACAGGAAATCTGTTGGGGTTTACACCCCTGCTACTTACCAAGCTCATGAGAGTGTGGCAGAGGTGATCATCACCTGATATTTGTGGCAGAAGAGAAAAGTCCAGCGTGAAGGCCAGGTAGGGGAGACGTGCCAGGCTGTGGGGCCAGGCCCTGCGCATGCTGGGCCTGTTATGTCACTGAACATCTAACTACCCGGGAACCAGCTCTTTTCACATCATCTGAGGTAAGAGGATGGAGAAGCACTCTCCAGAAGTCACACTGCGCTGGGAGAATGGAGGAGAGCCTACAACTCACCATCCTAAGGTAGGTTTTAGATTGAGCTGAACTGTCTTCGAGAGCTAATGAGATGGGAGGAAGACAGTCCCCCAGGTGCACCTGACAGCCAGAGCCTATGAATTTAGGGGGGTTGTGTGGGGGTGGCCTGTCCCTATGAGAAGAGGAGCTTAAAGCTACTAAAGCTGGTGGCCGCTGCTCTGCCATCCCTCTACAGAGCAGGCAGGTCCTCAGCTGCATGTATAGCTGAATCTCTTTTGGAGTGTTAGAGAGTCCTCTATGTCTTAGAAATTTTGAAAAGAAAAACAAATCTCAATTTTAATGTTGATTGGTTTCTCTGAGCCAGTTGGGAAAAAAGATGTCCTTCACCTCAAAGGTTTAAGTGACACCGAAGGGTAGCCACCAGTGTCTCGGCCACTGAAGCCTCATGCATGCTCTCACTACCAGTTTGATTTGCAGCCCCATAGTTGTGTTGTACTAAATATTCTTTCCTCTGGCCTTGTCCAGTGAACACGGTTCACATGGCTAACACCACTTCTTGAGATGCGAGCACCATGCAAAGCTGAGAATGGATTGGGTTTTGTGACGATTGTGCCTCCTCCTCACCTGAGAGGCCCATTTTTCCTGGTTGATTCATTAAGTGTATTGGTGCTGTCAGTCGCCTCTGGACAATTCAAATGACAACTGGCTGTTGATTCATAAAGAAAATGAAGGCTTTAGATGTGAAACCCTCGTTTTCTCTTGTCCTTCTCTTAGGTGAAAGATTTTATTTTTTTCAAAAGGCTACATACTGGTATCCCAGCAGGTGTAGTGTGAGAACTGGCATATGTTAGGCTATGGTTTCAGTGTGGATGGGCAATTCTTCAAGATGGAAAACCAAGTCTCACTGAGGTGCTGGAGCCACACTGACCCTTCTCCACATCCCCCACCATGGGCTTTCACTTTTATTCTGTGCTTGAATTTTTTTCACATACAAATTCTTTATACACACACACAGACACACACACACATATCTCACTCTGTCAATGCAGTGGCTGAATCATGGGTCACTGCATCTTCAAATTCTTAGGCTCCAGTGATGCTTTCAAATCAGCCTCTCAAGTAGCTGGGACTACAGGCATGCAAAGCTACACCCAGACAATTTTTTAATTTTTTTCTAGAGACTGAGCCTACTTATGTTGCTCAGACTCATCTTGAACTCCTGGGATCAAGCGATAATCCCACCTTGGCCACCTAAAGTGTTTACATTACAGGTGTGAGCTAGCACTCTCAGCAAAAATATATTTTAAAGAACCGTTACAACCAAATTATGAGTTATCATTATGCCACTGCCCTCCAGCCTGGGCACCAGAACAAGACCTTGTATCCAAAAACTAAGCAAAACTGAACAAGAACAAAAAAAAAACCTTATAAATAAATTAAACTTTGAAGATTGTGTCATCTGTGTCCTTCCCTGCCCTCCAAGCTATCAATGTTAAATATAATGGTTATTGAGAAAATGGTTAGATATTATTAAGAAATTTCTATATATCCTCCAGCTGAGAATAGGTATTCTGATGTGGCCCAAATATTTTCTCACCGCTACCTTCAGGGTCTCAACTAGCAAATCAGGACACCTGCAGAGGACAGTTGACCGTTTTCAAATAGAAAGAGAAATACCCCGTTCATGAGAGTAATCCAGTGATTTTCAAAAAGACAAGACACACTGACATCCAGCGCAGTCAGGGCACAATTACCTTGGAAAAATCACCTCACACAGAATGGTTGAGGAGACTTTCTAAGGTGAGCAAATTTGGGCAACATAATCCTTTCTTATTTATTTCCAGCCCCCGCTGCCCCCCTGATTCCTAATGGCCACTCCACAGTGTGGTCAGCAGTGGGGTGCAGTGTTGTGAGAGAGGGGCTCAAGGACGGGATGAAGGTCTTTACCGCGTTACCAAAATGCAGGTTAAAAAGTTGCTAAAAACATGTCTAAATATTCTAATTCCTACTGTTACATAGCTGCTAAGATGCATTATACAACAGACCCAGGTAAGGGAAAGAGCATGTGCATTTCAAGTCTCAGCTCACGTCTTAATTAGCTGTGATACTCTGGGCATGTGAACCCAAATATACGAGCCTGTTTGCCGGTCAACCCAAAACAATCCTAAGCAAAAGCAACAAAGCTTGAGGCATCCTGTTACCAGACTTCAAACTATACTACAAGGCTACAGTAATCAAAACAGCACAGTACTGATACCAAAACAGATATATAGACCAATGGAACAGAACAGAGGCCTCAGAAATAACATCACACATCTACAACCATCTGATCTCCGACAAACCTGACAAAAACAAGCAATGGGGAAAGATTTCCTACTTACCAAATGGTGCTGAAAGAACTGGCTAGCCACATTCAGAAAACAGAAACTGTACCCCTTCCTTACACCTTATACAAACATTATCTTAAGATGGATTAAAGTCTTAAATGTAAAACACCAAACCATAAAAACCCTAGAAGAAAACCTAGGCAATACCATTCAGGACATAGGCATGAGCAAAGACTTCATGAATAAAATACAAAAAGCAATCTCAACAAAAGCTAAAATTGACAAATGAGATCTAACTAAACTAACGAGCTTCTGCACAGCAAAAGAAGCTATCACCAGAGTGACCAGGCAACCTACAGAGTGAAAGAAAATTTTTGCACTCTATCCATGTGTCAGAGGTCTAATATCCAGAATCTACAAGGAACTTAAACAAATTCACACACACACAAAAAAAAAACCATCAAAAAGTGGGCACAGAATATGAACAGACTCTTTTCAAAAGAAGATATTTGGCTGGGCACGGTTGATCAAGCCTGTAATCCCAGCACTTTCAGCCGTGGAGGCAGGTGGATCATGAGGTCAGGTGTTCAAGACCAGCCTGGGCCACATGGCGACACCGCATCTCTACTAAAAACACAAAAAATTAGTAGGATGTGTTGGCGGGTGGCCTGTAATCCCACCTTCTGGGGAGACTAAGGCAGGAGAATCACTTGAACCTGGGTGGCAGATGTTGCAGTGAGCCGAGATCCTTCCACTGCACTCCAGCCTGGGTGACAGAGCATGACTCCATCTTAAAAATAATAATAATAATAATAAATAAAATAAATAGAAAAAGAAGAGGAAGGAGAAGGAGAAGAAGAAGAAGAAGAAGAAGAAGAAGAAGAAGAAGAAGAAGAAGAAGAAGAAGAAGAAGAAGGGGACCTTTATGTGGTCAACAAACACACAAAAAGAAAAAAGCTCATCATCACTGGAGACTAGAGAAATGCAAATCAAAACCACAATGGGATACCATCTCACACCATGTTGAATGGCAGTTATTAAAAAGTTAGGAAACAACAGATGCTGGTGAGGCTGTGGAGGAATAGAAACACTTTTACACTGCTGGAGGGAGTGTAAATTAGTTCAACCATTATGGAAGACAGTGTGGTGATTCCTCAAGGATCTAGAACCAGAAATACCATTTGATCCAGCAATCTCATTACTGGGTATATACCCAAAGGAATATAAATCATTCTAGCATAAAGACACATGTACTCATATGTGTATTGCAGCACTGTTTGCAATAGCAAAGACTTGGAACCAACCCTAATGCTCATCATTGATAGATTGGAAAAAGAAAATGTGGCACATCTACACCATGAAATAATAAGCAGCCATAAAAAGAATGAGTTCATGTCCTTTGCAGGGACGTGAATGAAGCTGGAAACCATTAACCTCAGCAAACTAACACGGGAACAGGAAAGCAAACACCATATGCTCTCACTCATATGTGGGAGTTGAAAAATGAGAACACATGGACACCGGGAACCAAAGATCACACACTGGGGCCTGTTAAGGGGTTGAGGTCAAGGGGAGGGAGAAAATTAGGACAAATACCTAATGCATGTGGGGCTTAAACCCTAGATGGCAGGTTGATAGGTGCAGCAAACCACCATGGCACATGTAAAACTATGTAACAAACCTGCACTTTCTGCACATGTATTCCAGAACTTAAAGAAAAACAAACTAACAAAAATGCACTAAGGCTGAGGGGGAGTGGGGGTAAGGGCAGGAGTCAGGCTCGGGTGGGTGCGTCCTGGAGTTTTATCCAGTCATTGACACTGATGTGGGAACCGCCCAATCAGGCGCGCGGTGGCAGAGGAGAGGAAAGGAGGGCGTGGCTTCCTGCATTTGGCGGGATCTGTGTCTCTCGCTGGTGCTGGCACAAGAGCTTGGGATCCGTCTCCTCTTTCGCCTCCTGCACCTTGGGAGCCCCGGGCTACTCTCTCACAGCCCCTGTTGCCCTGTGATCTGTAGGTCCTTGGGGACGCATAGTTAAGGTGCCAGGACATCCTGGAAGCTGGGAAATGGTGAGTATACGGGGTTCGCCATCCCGAGAGGGGAGAACAGACTGTGAAACCGGCAGGACCGGCCTCCCCACGGTTAGCTCCGAGTCTCCCGCAGCTTGGCCCTCAGTCCCCTGTGGCTGCAAGATGGCCGCTGGGCCAGCAGCGAGGGCCCCCACGTCCCGTCCGGCCCATCCGGTCCTGTCCCTGGGCAGCGCCCTGCTCTGCGCCCACAGCCATGAGTATTTCCCAGATTGTTCAGGGAGGCCTGGTGGGTCATCAGGGAAAAACCGCGACTGGGTGTTTGCGTGGGAGGAGCTGCGGCCCGTGGGGTCCCCAGTCTCTCTTGTTAAAAATTAACGGGAGTCTATGTTAAAAGGTTCATCAGTTTATCTGAACAAAGAGTGATTGGTGAAATGGAAAGCACCCAGCCATGATTTCTGGTCCACCAGAGGGGCATAAAGGAAAGGCTTTTATAAGATGCATGAGAAAGCAACCCAAATTCAAGAATTGGTTCCAGTTATATGGTAGCCTTATTTGAACTATCCAGATGGAAATGTCCTGGTTACATATTCAGAGGTTAATTGCATGTTTGTCATGGGTTAAACCTGCATTTTGCTTCAGGCTAAGATAGTGTTTTATAGGAAATATATTTGAGTTAGGTTTTAGATTTTTTTTTGTTTGTTTTTTGCTTTTTACCTATGAACACAGGGCACTAGAGCCACTTTAGACTAATTTTCTGATCTTTAATTATTTTAACACTCCAGAGGAGGACTGGTTTTCTCCTGTGTTTTTTTAATGTATGGCAAGTGGAACCTCTAATCGACCACCCTGTTTTTCATCCTAACTCAGGCTTGCAGTAAAATTATCAGTTCCCACTTTCTTTGCTGCATTCTCAAATGCAACACATGAGACCAGCTTTCCCTTGCCAATTTACAATGCTGTTAACTATATGTCCTTTATTATACATTTCATTAAAGTTTTCTATTATTTGGTTTCTTTCTACTTCTCCCTACAGTTCTGGCAATATTTGCTTTTTATATTTAGAAGCCTCCCTTTTGGGTGCATAAATATATAAAGCTATATTCTCTTGAGAAATTAACCTCTATTATTATTGTATGGTAAACTCATTTCATGCTTGTGAGAGACATTGCTAGAAAGTCTATTTTGTCTAATTTAAGCATTACCGTTGCACTCCTTTGGTTATTGTTTGCATGGAATATCATTTTCTATCCTTTCACTTTTAGCCTATGCTCTTAATTCATAATTGAGTCTCTTGTAAGCAGCATATTACGAGGTTTAAAAGATTAATTTATCCACTCTGTCTGCTTTAGTCTCTTTTGGCTGCTATAACTGAATATCACACACTGGTAATTAATAAAGAATCGAATTTTATTTGACTTATGATTCTGGAGGCTGGGAAGCCAAAACAACATGATACTGGTATATGTTGAAGGTCTAGTTGCTGGATAATAACATAGACAAAGATGTGAGGGAGAGAGAGCTTTTTTTTTTTAATATATAACAGATCCATTCTTGTTAAAATTAGCCCATTCCCATAATAAGAACATTAATCCATTCATGAGGGCAGAGTTCTTAGAGCTTAATTAATTTTTAAAGGTTCCACCTCTTAATTCTAACATGTTGGCTATTAAATTTTATCCTAAATTTTGGAGATGACATTCAGTGTACAGCAGTATCTGTTTAGTAGATACTTTAATCTTTTTATTTGTAAGGTAGTGATAGGTAAGGAGTTACTATTGTAAATTTGTAGTTTTCTGTCCATTTTAAGTTTGCTTCTTTTTTTTCTGGTTCTGTCTTTCCTGTGGTATTGTTCATTTTTGTTGAGACAAAGTTATGCTTTCTTGCTCAGACTGAAGTGTAGTGGCATATCACAGCTCACTGTAGCTTCAACCTCCTGGGCTCAAATAATCCTCCCACCTTAGCCACCCAAGTAGCTTGGACTACAGACACGTACCGCAACACCCAAGGAGATTTCATCCTTCCACCTTGGCCTCCCAAAGTGTTGGAATTATAAGCAGGAGACACCATATCCAATGTGTAATTTTTGTTGTTTGTGTATGCTTTAATTACTTTCTCTTTTTCTTTACTGCAGTTTTTTTTTCCTAGTGGTTATCATGAGACTTAGGTAAAACATCTTGTATTTTAATAGTCTAGTTTAAGATGATAACAATTTATAGTATTCTGAAATTCAGTATGTATTTACCATTTTAGTGACATTTATACTTTAGTATTTTTCATATTGTTAGTTAGCATTTCATCATATCAATGTGAAGATTTCTTCCAGACCATGGCTGGAGAAGGAAAGAAGGTGTGTTTTGCCTGACTCAGTGACTATAGAGAGAACCAAGTTCTGCAGGCCTGTCACCTAAGTCTCAGGTGAGTATGAATTCTCTTGTGTTTTTCACAGATTGTTGCAGTGGCAGGACCAAGGTCAAATGAGTTATAGCCAAGTCTACAGTAAGATGTGGCAGTATTCTGTTTTGAAGCCGGGACCATGATTGGCAAGCTTGCCACTTGGTCAAGTGCTCACCCTCTGAAAATGTCTTCCTTGGTCTTTGCCTCCAGCTGGGTGCCACAAACTCTGAACTGGATTTCAAGGCTTTCATGAATGCACTTACGTTTGCTGTGGCAGCTGCATTATGTCGTGGGGGATGTGGATGCAGAACCTCACATTCTGTCGTCTTGCTTATGTTACTCTCCTTTATGTTTCACTTTCTCAAATGAATGTCAAGCAGGTGATTTTCAGATTCAAAAGTTCTAAAATAAATTGCTCAAATTTATACATTATGTAAGCTGTTAATAAAATTTCTTGTAGGTGCTACATATTTGTTAAAATTTTTGGTTGTAATTTTAAGCTCACTGTAGGCAGAAAGGAATCATTAAGATTTCTATTCTTTTTTAGTCTGTATCTAAATGACCATATATTTTAATTCCAAATATTTACTTTATACTTCAGTAATGCTCATTGTATTTTGCAAAATTTATATTGTTCTTTTATTTGAAAATATAAGGCTTTTTTTAGCTCCTGAAAGCTATATTATAGTCATATAGTTTTATTATAGTATTTGATAAGAAGAGCAGCAACATATTGAGAACAGATAAAATTCTGCTGTCTTTTTAATGATTATTTATTAAATTCTTCTCATTAGAGCCTATTATTAATGATTGTAATGTATTTACTGTATAATTTTTCTGCAATTTATTAAATGCCAATGACTTCCAATGTCTGCTTTTCATGACTGCACACAGTTTAAAGCTGTAGATATCTAAAGGGTTATTTTTCAGCCCGGCATGGTGGCTCACGCCTGTAATCCCAGCACTTTGGGAGGCCAAGGTGGGTGGATCACGAGGTCAGGAGATCAAGACCATCCTGGCTACCACGGTGAAACCCCGTCTCTACTAAATATAGAAAAAATTAGCCGGGCATAGTGGTGGGTGCCTGTATTCCCAGCTACTCGAGAGGCTGAGGCAGGAGAATGGCGTGAACCCAGTAGGCGGAGCTTGCAGTGAGCCGAGATGGCACCACTGCACTCCAGCCTGGGCGACAGGGTGAGACTGTCTCAAAAAAAAACAAAAAGGGCTTATTTTTCATTGTATATTTATGTTGTATTCAGGATTTTATGCATTAAAATCTCTCTTCTTATTTTCAGTTCTGTGTTGTTGTGTTTCTTTTCTGGGGGGGTATGTTTTCTCAGAGCAGTTAATTGTATTTTTGCTTTTAAAGCTTGATATCATGAGTTGAATGATAATTTTTTAACTCGGTACACATTATGACAATGTGATATTTAATTTATATTTGAATTAGCTGTGTTTGTTGCTTATAGATATATCTATGTGTTTTTCACCTATGTAAGTATGTCATTTTTTTCATCTTTTTTCCTTGTTTTTTTTTTTTAAGTTTCAGATATGCTTTCTTTTTCTTTTTTTTGTTTTTTTTTTTTTTTAAAGAGAATTTTAAAACAGAGTCAAATGAACAAAAATCAGTTATTTGTCCTCTTGCAGGGCGGGGAGACCTTCCTTCCCCACGGGTTTGAGGCTATGGCTAAGTGGTGAGCCTTGGTGAGACGCAGAAAGGATCCATCCCAGGCACTTGGCTAGAGGTAAGTAAAAATAGCCTTTGGGCCAGAAGACCTGATAGTTTGGGTACTCGTCTGGACATAAGTCCCCATCTTCCCAGAAATGTCGTCTTTTGTCTGCAACAACTGGCTGGAGAAATATTTCAGAAAGATGTGTGCCTGGAACACCCAAAGGCATACCTTTCCTTTCTCCTTGGCATAGGCCTTGCAGCACTGAAGAAAGACCAGGTTTGCAACGGAGCCTTCAATACTCTTCATCCCTATGGATCTCAGGGGCTCATAGGGTGACAGGAGAGGAGACAAGCTAGCTTGGGAAGAGTCTTTGTCCTTCAGCTTCTCCTCTACTGAAACACTATATACTTGGGGCCACAGTTCATAACAAAACACACATGCTGTCTTTCTTTCTCTCACACCCCCATCTCGGGAACCCAACAACTTGATGGCAGGTAGCTCTGGGTATCCTTGGTCTGGCATTCACCCACTGGGCATCTAAGCTGTCCTAAAGCTCTTTTCAATCACTTCTCACTGTTTCCAGGCCCATGTGGGTAGGTGTTCCAGCCTTCACTCTTTCAGGCTGTTCATAAAGGCACAGTGTGGGAAAATCCCCTACTGTGATGGCCATTGCTGGGAAGCAGGGAAGGTTAAGGGCCCACTGCTGCCCAAGGCTAGTGTAGACACCCTCTGCTCCTCCACTCATCTCCTCAAATAATGATATCAGGTGCAGCAGCTGCTGTCTGGAATGTTATCAAACCAGGACTGCACAGGCACTGCATTCTCTGTGTGGAAGATGTAAGAAGCAGGCGAGTTGTCCAGGATGAGTTTTCCTCAGGTCCCTCCCCAGATGGCTGACGTCCTTGACATAGCAGCCCTGGTGAAACAAACATGACTCATGGGACAGGCAGCCCCAGACCATCCCATACCCGTCCAGCTCACCCGTCACAGGATCTGCCTACTTGTTCAGGCTGGGAAGAAGAGAGCAATGACGAAAACACATTTAAACATTTCCTCCATTCATGTCAGGAACTCATCCATATAAGGCCTCATGAGCACATGGATCTGGTGCATGGTCCCCTCAAGCTCTACAGGCACTAGGCAGTCAGCATTGCTGATTGGCTTAAAGGAGCTATGCACAAGGGTTTCATCCAGGTCAGTGACCATACAGATCCTTCCTTGATTTTTCTCTGTCACCTCTGGGAGCAGGCAGGTTCCTGGGATCTGATAAAACTGATATTGGAGACGCTGGAGCTGATCCGACATAGCAATGGTGTTGACTCCCTCCTTATGTGTGGATTGCTCAGCGGGGGAACTTGACTGTCCAACATGCTGGGTGCAAGAACAGCAGAAAGGGGACTTTTAAGATGTGGCAAACATGAGGCCTCTTCGGAGAGGACTTTGGAAACCAGGCCTTGTTTGGTAAGGACCAGGGCATCTTCCCTCCATGCCTGGGTGATGATGGAGCCTTGTTCCATCTAACAATCCTGAGGGCTGGGCTGGGGGGCATGGGCTGGGGCCTGATTCAGTTCCCGAGATTCTGACCTCCACAGCTGTTCACATACCCCTTCTCCTTTCCATACTGGCCGGGAAGGGAGGTGGCTTGTAGGGAGGGTGGTTGGCCTTGGCAGCGGCTCCCCAGTGTGCCCCCATCCCCGATTCCCCCAGCGAGAGCTTCAAGATCCTCAGTTTGGGTCTAACATAGAGAATCCACCAGAAACACATTTTTTTTCAAGTTTTATTTTAAGTTCAGGGGTCCATATGTGATAAAGTTTATTTTTCAACTTTTATTTTAAGTTTAGGGGTCCATGTGCAGAGTATGCAGGTCTCTTACATACATAAATGCGTACCACTGTGGTTTACTGCACAGATCATCTCATCACCCAGGTACCAAGCCCAGCATCCGCAGCTATTCTTCCTGATGCTCTCCTTCCCCTCCCCCATGCCATGAAACAGGTGTCCAGTGTGTGTTGTTCTTCCTGATGTGTCCATGTGTTCTCATTGATCTGCTTCTGCTAATAAGTTAGAATAATAATAGGCGGTGTTTGGTTTTCTGTTCCTGCATTAGTTTGCTGGGAGTAATGGCTTCAAATTCCAACCATGTCCCTGCAAGGGACATCATCTCATTACATTTTATGGCTTCATAGTGTTCCATGGTGTATGTGTACCACATTTCCTTTATCCAGTGTATCATTGATGGGCATGTAGATTGATTACATGATGTTGCTATTGTAAATAGTGCTGCAATGAACATTTGTATACATGTATTTTTAAAATAGAATTATTTATATTCCTTTGGGTGTAATGGTATTGCTGGGTCAAATGGTAGTTCTGCTTCTAGGTCTTTGAGGAATCTCCACACTCTCTTCCTCAATGCTTGAAATAATTTACACTCCCACCAACAGTGTAAAAGTGTTCCCTTTTCTCCACAACCTCGCCAGCATCTGTTTTTTTTTTTTTACTTTTTATTAATAGCCATTATAATTTGTGTGAGATGGTATCTCATTATGGTTTTGATTTGTATTTATGCAGTTATCAGTGATGTTGAGCTTTTCATGTTTGTTGGGCACATGTATGTCCTCTTTTGAGATATGTCTGTTCATGTTCTTTGACCCTTTTTTAATGGGGCCTTTTTTTTTTCTCTTGTAAATTTTGTTAAATTCCTCCTAGATTCTGGATATTAGACATTTGTGAGATGGATAGGTTGCATAATTTTTCTCCCATTCTCTAGGTTGTCTGCTCTGATGATAGTTTCTTTGGCTCCGCAGAAGCTCTTTAGTTTAATTAGACCCCATTAGTCAATTTTTGCTTTTGTTGCTATAGCTTTTTGCCTTTCTGTCATAAAGTCTTTTCTCATGCCTATATCCTGAATGGTATTATCTAGATTTTTTCTTCTAAGGGTTTTATAGTTTTGGGTTGTACATTTAAGTCTTTAATCCATCTTGAGTTAATTTTTGTACATGGTGTTAAGAAGGGTTCCAGTTTAAATTCTCTGCATATGGCTAGCCAGTTCTCCTAGCACCATTTTTTGAATAGGGACACCTTTCCCTAATTCCTTGTTTTTGTTAACTTTGTCAAAGATCAGGTTGTTGTAGGTTTTTGGCTTTATTTCTAGGTTCTCTACTTTGTTTCATTTGTCTATGTGTCTGTTTCTATACCAGTACCATGCTGTTTTTGTTACTGTACTCTTCTAGTATAGTTTGAAGTTAGGTAGAGTGACACTTCCAGCTTTTTTTTTTTTTTCTTAAGGTTGGCTTGGCTATTTGGGCTCTTTTTTGGTTCCATATGAACTTTAAAAGTTTTTATTTTTCTAATTCTCTGAAGAATGTCAGTAGTTCAATGGGAATAGCATTGAATCTATGAATTACTTAGGGCCATATGCCCATATTCATGATACTGATTCTTCCTCTCCATGAGCATGGAATATTTCTCCATCTGTTTTGTGTCCACTCTGATTTCTCTGAGCAGTTGTTTGTGGTTCTCCTTGAAGAGGTCCTTCACTTTCTTTCTTAGCTGTATTCCTAGGTATTTTTTTCTCTTTGTAGCAAATGTGAATGAAAGTTCATTCATGATTTGTCTCCCTGCTTGCCTGTTGTTTGTGCATGGGAATGCTAGCTACTTTTGCACATTGATTTTATATCCTGAGATTTTGCTACTGTTGCTTATCACCTTAAGAAGCTTTGGGCCTGAGACAATGAGGTTTTCTAGATGTAGGATCAGGTCATCTGCAAACAAAGATAATTTGACTTCCTCTCTTTCTATTAGAATACTCTTTATTTCTTCCTCTGGCCTGATTTTCCTGGCCAAGGCTTCTGATACTATATTGAATGGTAGTGGTGAAAGAGGGCATTCTTTTCTTGTGCCAGTTTTCAGGTGGAACGTTTCTAGCTTTTGCACATTCAGTATGATATTGGCTGTGGGTTTGTTGTATATGGCTCTTATTATTTTCAGGTATGTTTCTTCACTTCCTAGTTTATTGAGAATTTTAAACCTGAAAGAATGCTGAATTTTATTGGATGCTTTTTCTGCATTTATTGAGATAATCATGTGGTTTTTGTATTTAGTTCTCTTTATGTGATGAGTCACATTTATTGATTTGCATATGTTGAATCAACCTTGCATCCTGGGGACAAAGCCAACTCCATTGTTGCGGATGAACTTTTTAATGTGCTGCTGGATTTGTTTTGCCAGTATTTTATTGAGGATTTTTGCACAGTGTTTACCAAAGACATTGGCATGATGTGTTGTTGTTGTTGTTGTTGTTGTAGTATCTATGTTAGGTTTTGGTATCTGGATGATGCTGGCCTGATAGAATGAGTTAGAGAGAACTTCTTTGTCTTCAATTTTTTTTGGATGGTTTTAGGAGAAAAGGTACCATCTCCTCTTTGTACCTCTGCTCAAATTCAGCTTGCTTGGTAGGCTAGTTTTTACTGCCTCAGTTTCAGAACACATTATTGATCTATTCAGGGTTCAGTCTTGTGGAGGGTTTATTTTGCAAGGAAATTGTCTATTTCTTCTAGATTTTCTGGTTTATGTGCATACATATGTTTATAGTGTTCTCTGATTGTTGTTCATATTTCCATGGGATCAGTGATGATATCTCCCTTATTATTTCTAATTGTGTTTGGTTCTCCTTTCTTTTCTTATTTATTTGCCTAGCTAGTGTTCCATCTAGTTTATTAATTTTTTTCATAAAAACAGCTCCTGGATTTGTTGACTTTTTTTTTTGGAAGAGTTTTCAGTGTCTCTATCTCCCTCAGCTCTACTTTGATCTTGGTTATTTCTTGTTTTCTGCTACCTTTCTGGTTAGTTTTCACTTGGTTTTCTAGTTCTTTTCATCAAGATGTTAGGCTGTTAATTTTAGATCTTTTAGTTTCTCTTTTTTTTCTTCTTGTGGCAGAGTCTCACTCTGTCACCCAGGCTGGAGTACAGTGGCATGATCTCCGCTCACTGCAACCTCCACTTCTCAGTTTTAAGTGATTTCTGCTGTCTCAGCTTCCTGAGTAGCTGGGATTACAGATGTGCATCACAAAAACCAGCTAATTTTTGAATTTTTTTTGTAGAGGTGGGGTTTTGTTGTGTGGTCCAGACTGGTCTTGAACATCTGGCCTTAAGTGATTTGCCTACCCCAGCCTCCCAAAGTGCTGGAACTACAGGCATGAGCCACCACACCCAGCCCTTTCTATCTTTTTGATGTGGACATTAGTGCTATAAATTTCCCTCTTTTCTTGGTTTCCAGTGATTATTTTATTCTATCTTGGTGAGTCATCAGGGAAATAATCTTAAATTTACAATCAACATATAGTTTAAATCCATATAATTGTGTGAGAAGAACCCTTTGTTATTTGAAGGTGATGTTTGAAAGATTTTCTAACTGTGCCTTTTAGTTAGTCTTAAATTTCTAATTGTAGTTAAAAACATGCCATTGTCATTTCTGACATTTTAAGTATATGGTTTAGAAGTGGTTAGTATAGTTCTATTGTTTTGCAGTAGGTTTTAGATAATTTGTGTCTTACAAAAGTAAAAGTGAATACTCATTACTTATGAAAGAAGTTAGTTAGCTTGCCTTAGGTAGATAGCAAGAGAAGAGTCCCTGGAAAGTCCCTGGTCAGTGCCTCATCCCTGCATAACATATAAAGAAGCCTGGAAAAAATCAAGCTGCAGACACTAACAAGGGAACTAGCATATGTTGTTGTGCTTGGGGACATGCCCGTGGCTGCACAGATAGAAAAACCTCTGGCCCATTTGGATAAAAACTTGTAGAAACCTCCAGCTCACTCAGATAAAGGAACAAGAACGACCTAGCATAGAAATGCCTTTGTTTGGCCAGGCACGGTGGATCATGCCTGTAATTCCAACAATGTCGGAGGCAGCTGTGGGCGGATCATCTGAGGTCGGGAGTTTGAGACCAGCATGACCAAGATGGACAAACTCTGTCTTTACTAAAAATACAAAACTAGCCAGGCATGGTGCTGCATGCCTATAATCCCAGCTACTTGGGAGGCTGAGGCAGGAGAATCGCTAGAACCCAGGAGGCGGAGGTTTCTGTGAGCCGAGATCGCACCATTGCACTCCAGGCTGGGCAACAAGAGCAAAACTGCAAAAAAAAATAAAAATAAATAAAAAAAGAAAGTACATCTCAAAAAAAAGAAAGACAAGAAAAAGAAAAAAAAGAAGCACTTTTGTCTTTGTACAGTCAGTGGGCTCCCAGGAAAATGTTCCTTCTCTTTTTGTTGGCATGGGCACTGTGGGATCTGGTGCATTCCGGTCGACACTCTCGTTTATTTGGACTGTAAGTCTGACCTCTATGAATAATTACTTCAGCCCCTGAGTGCTCCCGGGCCAAGCTCCTTGGCCAAACTTTCACCTTAGCTTCTGATAAGTCTTGGGCCAAGCTAAGCAGCATCTATCAATCATCCCTTCAGCTCCTGATTGATCCCGGGCCAAAGGCCTGGGCCAAGCTGAGCCACACGTTTTTCAAGACAGCCTGTGAACTAGGCACATATCCTTCCCTTCCCAGTCCATAAAAACCCTGGACCCAGCCTCGTAGAGGGCACCACTTTCAGACACCTATCTCTGCTGGCAAAGAGCTTTCTTCTCTTGCTTCTTAAACTTTCACTCCAACCTCACCTTTGTGTTCACGCTCCTTAATCTCCTTAGAGGTAGAACAAAGAACTCTGGATGTTATCTCAGACTACGAGAGACTGTTACATCTTGGTGCACTGCTGAGACTACGACACTTGGTTTCTTTGAGTTTGACTAAATATTTTACATGAGTGTAATTATACAGCTTTCCTTTTTGACTGTCTTATTTTACTTAACAGAATGTTTTGAAGATTTGTCCTTATTGTAGTACTTTTCAAGATTTCCTTATTTTTAAGGCTGAATGCTATCCCAGTGATTGTACGTGCCCTGTTTGCTGAATCTACTCATCCTTAAGGGTACATTTGCTTCCAGGTAACATGTTTGTGAGTAATACTACAATGTGCATATATCTATTCCATGTTCTGCTTTGTCTGTTTGGGATATTTTTCATACACTGATTCAGTACCATGTGTATTCCCTTGCTTTTGTTGTCTCATCCGTTGATGCTACGTCCCCCAAATTATTGCCACGACCAGTTGTAATGAAGCTTCACCCTTCTGTATTGTGCTAGGAATTTTACAGCTATAGGTTTTACATTATAGTCTTCATTCATTTTTTAAAATTGACACATGTAATTGTGCATATTTTGGGGAAACAATTATATATATGTGTTGTATAACAATAAAAATCAGTACTTCTATATTTGTTGCCTCATGCATTTGTTATTTTTGTGGTGAGAATATTCAAAAGCTCCTTCTCTAGCTATTTTATTTTATCTTTATGTATTAATTATTTTAGAGACAGGATCTTGCTCTAACACCCAGACTGGTGTGCAGTGGTGCAATCCTAGCTCACTGTAACTTCAAACAGTCTTCTAACCTTAGTTTCCCAATTAGCTGAGACTACAAGAAGCTGCCACCATGCCTGGCTAATGTTTTAATTTTTCATACAGACGGGGTCACACTATGTTGTCCAGGCTCATCTTGAACTTCTGACGTCAAGTGATTCTCCTACCTCAATCTCCCAAAATGTATGGATTGCAAGAATATGCCACCAAAACTGGTCTCTTTTAGCTATTTTGTAATATGAGATAACTTTTCATTAATTATTATTATTCTACTGTGTAATAAAAAACAAAAACTTATTTCCCCTATCTAATCATAACACAATACCTGTGAAGCAGACTTTTCCCATCCTCCTGCTTCAGTCTCTGGTAACCCCTGTTGTACTCTTTGCTTCTATCAACCCTTTTTTTCAGGTTCCTCAAATGAGTGAGATAATAAGATCATAAAGTATTTGTGTTTCTCTGTGTGGCTTATTTTACTTAACATGGTATGCTCAAGGTTCATCCATGCTCTTTTTAACTGACAGAATTTTATGCTTTCTTATGGCTGAATAGTATTTCGCTGTGTATATATAGTACATTTTCCTTATCCATTTATCTGTTGCTGTACATTTGAATTGATTCCATATATAAGCTATTATAAATAGTTCTGTAATGAACATGGGAATGCAAATATCTTTTTGACACAGTAATATCCTTTCTTTTGGATATACACCCAGAAGTAAAATTGCTGGATCATATAATAGATATATTTTTAATTTCTTTCAGAAACCTCCATACTATTTTCTATAATGGCCATACTAATTTACAATTCCACCAACAAGGTATACATCCACTCTTTTTTATATCCTCATTAGTTCTTGATTTATTTATTTATTTATTTTTATTATAGCCATTCTAATGGGAATGAGGTGGTACTTCATTGCAGTTTGGATTTGCATTTCCTTGGTGATTAGTAATGTAGAGCATCTTTTTGTGTTCCAGTTAGCCATTTTTGTATCTCTTTTTGACAAACATCTATTAAGATCTTTTGCATTTTTTAAATTAGATTATAAGTGTATTTTATTTTGAGATTTTAAAGTTTCTTATATATTCTGAATATTAGCCTTTTGTCACATGTATATGAAAACATTTTCTGTCATCGCCTAAGCTGTCTCTTCAAACTTTTAGTTGTTTTTTTAATATGAAAAAGCATTTTAGTTTGACATAATGTTGTTTGTTTATTCTTGATTTTGTTGCCCATGTTTTGAAATCTTATTTTAATAATCCTTTCACCGTCCAATGTTATAAAGCATTTTTTTATGTTTTTCTCTAATAGTTTCATAATTGATGGCATTACATTTAAGTCTTTAGTTTTAGTTGATTATCATATATGGCAAGGTACAAGGGTCTAGTATTATTTTTCTGAATATAAATATTTAAATGGCCCTGCACCATTTATTAAAGAGATTAGCTTTTCTCTAAAGTGTGTTCTTGGTAATTTTGTTGACAATCTGTTGGCTTTAGGTGCATAAATTAACTTCCGGGCTTATTGGGCATATTAGTCTATGTGTTTGTTTTTATGCCAGTACAGTGCTGTTTTGGTTACTGTAGCTTTATAGCAAGTTTTGAAGTTTGATGAAGTGATGCCTTCAGCTTTGCTTATTTTGCTCAAAGTTGCTTTGTCTATTCAGAGTTTTTTGTGGATCCATATAAATTTAAATTTTTTTATTTCTGTGAAAAAATGTCATTGGTATTTTGATAAAAATCACATTAAGTCTGTAGATCACTTTGGGTAGCTATATCAACAGTATTCTTCCAGTGTATAAACACAATATTTTTTATTTATTCATTTGTATTTTATATTTTTTATCCATGTTTTGTCGTTTTCAGAGTAGAGATCTTTTACCTTTTTAGTTAAGTTTGTTGCTAGGTGTATTAGTTGGGCTTCCCTAGAGAGATCATGAGATCCCACAATAGGTTGGTTGTCTGCAAGTTTGAGGAGCAAGGAGAGGCGGTCCATGTCCCAAAGCTGAAGAACTTGGAGTCTGATGTTTGAGGGCTGCAAGTGTCCAGCACAGGAGAAAGATGTAGTCTGGGAGCTTAGGCCAGTCTCTCTTTTTCACGTTTTTCTGCCTGCTTTATATTCACTGTCAGCTCATTAGATGGTGCTCACCCAATTAAGAGTGGATCTCCCTTTCCCAGCCCACTGACTCAAATGTTAATGTCCTTTGGCAACACCCTCACAGACACACCCAGGATCAATGCTTTCTATCCTCCAATCCAATCAATTTGACACCCTGTATTAGCCATCACATTAAGTATTTTCATTTTTGTAGCTTTTGCATATGCAGAAGAAGAATTGGATGAAATTCAGCCTTGATTATGATGAAAACTCTCAACAAGTTAGGAATAGAAGGTATGTGCCTTAACTCAATAAAGGCCATTTATGAAAAAGCAATGCTAACTTTATACTGAATAAGGAAAAGTTGAAAGCTTTCTCTCTGAGATCTGGAACAAGACAAATCGTCCAAACTTTCAGCCCTCTTATTCAACATAGTACTGGAAGTCCTAGCCAAGGAAATTAGGCAAGAGGAAGAAATAAAAGTCATACTAATTGAAAGGATGAAGTCAAATGGTCTCTGATTGTGGACAAAATAATCTTATATGTGAAAAACTCTAAACACTACACCAAAAACTATTAGAACTACTAAACAAATTCTGTAACATTGCAGAAAATTAACACAGTAGTAGCTTTCTGTATGATGATAGCGAACTATCTGAAAAATAAAATTATAAATTCCATTTTAATAGCTACCAAAAATTAGTTATTTTGAGTTTATTTCTTTATTTGTGGTGGAGTCTTTCTCTGTCACCAGGCTGGAGCGCAGTGACATGATCTCAGCTCACTGAAACTCTTGCCTCCCGGATTCCAGAGATTCTCCTGCATCAGCCTCCTGAGTGTCTGGAACTGCAGGCATGTGCCACCACCGCCAACTAATTTTTGTTTGTATTTTTAGTAGAGACGTTGTTTCCCCATGTTGGCCAGGATGGTCTTGATATCCTGACCTTGTGATTCACTTGTCTCAGTCACCCAAAGTGCTGGGATTACAGGTGTGAGCCACCACACCCAGCCTTGAGTTTATGTTTTTATCTGTTGCAAGTTAAGGTCTAACTTTGTTATTTTTTCCTTGTAAATTTTTATTATTCCCAATACTGTTTGTTGAAGAGACTGTTCTTTCCTTTTTGTGATTCTTGGAACACATTTTAAAAATATGTTTACTATACCCATGAGGACTTATGTCTGGACTCTCTCATCTGTTTCATCATTCATTTGTCTTTATGTCAGTACCAAACTGTTTTGATTACTATATGTTCATAGTATGTTTAGAAAATAGAAAGTATGATGCCTCTGTCTTTATATTTTTTTCCCAATATTGTTTGGCTGTTTGTGATCACTTGAAATTCCATAAAAATTGTAGAATATTTTAAAACTTCTGCAAAAAGTTTCATTGGTATTTTGATAGAAAGTATATTGAATCAGCTGAGGGTTGTGGCTCATGCCTGTAATCCCAGCACTTTGGGAGGCTGAGGAAGGTGGAACACCTGAGGTCAGGAGTTCCAGACCAGCCATGGAGAAACCCCATCTCTACTAAAAATACAAAATTAGCCAGGTGTGGTGGCACATGCCTGTATTCCCAGCTACTCAGGAGGCTGAGGCAGGAGAACAGCTTGAACCCAGGAGGTGGAGGCTGCAGTGAACTGAGATCACACCATTGCACTCCACCTTGGGCAACAAGAGCAAAACTCCGTCTCAAAAGAAAAAGAAAGAAAAGAAAAGAAAGAACATTGAATCCGTAGACCACTTTTGGTAGTAGTGACATTTTAACAATATTAAGTCTATAACCTCTTGAACAAGAGTGTGTTTGAGAATTTGTTGTTTAATTTTTACTTATTCTTTGACATGTTAGTGTTTTTAACTTCTTGTTTTATTGTATCATAGTTAGGAATAATTTGTGTAATTCCATCTGCTGAAATTTGCTAAGATGTGTTTTTTAACTTAACAGGTGGTCTATCTGGAATATTGTGGCATGTGTGATTAAAAGTATTGCATATTCTACTGTTGAGTGGAGAGATATAAATGTGACTGTTAGGTCTAATTGTTCTATTGTGTTGTTGAAATCCTCTGTTTACTTATTCATCTTATGTTTGTTTTTTAATTTACATTACTAAAAGTCTGATAAAAAAGTCATCTACTGTTATGTGCTGGCTACTTCATGTTTCAATTCTGTAAAATGTTGCTTCATATTTTGGGAACTGTGATGTAAGGCACATACATTACTGTTGCTTTTATTGTTGCATGTTGTTTTATTGTTGTTGCTTTTATTGATATATGTTGTTTTTTGTTGCTTTTATTGTTGTTGTTGTTATTGTCCTTTTCTTCTTCTCTCTTGAGGAAGTTTTTGATATAATATATATTTTGTCTACCATGACAGTATTTGATTTTGCATTTAATTTTTTTTATTCTTTCATGTATGGCTTATGCGTGTTCCAGATCATAATGTGGTCATTTGTAGGAAGCAGAGAGTTGAATCTTGTTTCATGAATTTATTTAGTGAAAGTATGTTTTTGATTGACATAATTTATATATATAAAAAATCATTACTAAAAGGGAATGATTTCCTATGACTTTCTATTTAATTTTGTTTCTTTTTTGTTTTAGGTCCTGTAGCTTTTTCTTTTGAGACGGAGTTTTGCTCTGTTGCCCAGGCTGGAGTGCAG
Source organism: Homo sapiens (assembly GCF_000001405.40). Classification (NCBI taxonomy): domain Eukaryota; kingdom Metazoa; phylum Chordata; class Mammalia; order Primates; family Hominidae; genus Homo; species Homo sapiens. Next base: position 154,398 of record NT_113901.1, read on the forward strand.
TGGTGCAATCTTGGCTCCCTGCAAGCTCCGCCTCCCGGATTCACGCCATTCTCCTGCCTCAGATTCCCCAGCAGCTGGGAATTCAGGCACCCGCCACCATGCCCGGCTATTTTTATTTTTATTTGTTTATTTTTTTTAGTAGAGACAGGGTTTCACTGTGTTAGCCAGGATGGTCTCAATCTCCTGACCTCGTTGATCCACCCACCTCGGCCTCCCAAATTGCTAGGATTACAGGCGTGAGCCACCGCTCCTGGCCGGTCCTGTAGCTATTATTTCCTGTTTTTCTCTCTTGTTCTCTTTCTTAGCATATTATTGATTTTTATAGTGACATGTTTTACTTCTTTTCTCACTACTCTCTCTGTGTGTATGTCTTTGTGTGTGTGTACTATAGGTATTTCCTTTTTTTTTTTTTTTTTTGACAGGGTCTTGCTCTGTCGCCCAGGCTGGAGGGCAGTGGCACAATATCTGCTTATTGCAAGCTCTGCCTCTCAGGCTCAACTCAAACAATCCTCCCACCACAGCCTTCTGAGTACCTGGGACCACAGATGTGCACCAGTACTCCTGGCTAATTTTTGTTATTTTTCATAGAGACAGGGTTTTGCCATGTTGCCCAGACTAGTCTCAAAATCCTAAGTACTATAGGTATTTTCTTTGTTGTTACTATAGATATTACCAAAAATAACTACTATAGCATATAAAACCCTGCCTCTTTATGGCTGCCTATGTGTTTTATTGATGTCGCGAATTACATCATTTTGTATTGTGAATCTATTGGCACAGTTATATAGTCATTTTTAAGTCTTTGTTATCTCAACTACATAGCAGAATTAAAAGTATTCTGTGCATCTTCATTATAATAACAAAAATATTATAATTGTGTACATAATTATCTGTTAGAAAACTTTATATTTTACATAATTCTATGTTGCTCTCATCATTATTTTATTTTTTAATGTCAATGACTAGCATTTTTTTATACAGGCCTACCGTGCATAAATTAATACAGTTTTCGTTGATCTTGAATATTCTTTATTTTTATTTTTTAATTCATTTGAAATGATAGCTTTGGCAGACATAGTGTTCTTGGTTGGTACTTGCCATTTTTTTCAGCACTTTGAGTATGTCATCCTACAACCTCTTGCCTGCATGCTATTGGCTGAGACATCTGCTGGTCATCCTATAGGGGTAACATTGTACATGCTAAGTCATTTTTTCTTGCTGACTTCAAGATTCTCGGTGTTTTAACATTTGAATCTCTGATTAAAATGTGTCTTGTCATGGGTCTCCCTGTGTTGCTACTAGTTGGTAAAGTTTCATTAAATTTTAGGCCATTTTCTCCCTCAAATTTTGAGAGTTCTCAGCCACTGTTTGTTTCTTGAAATAACTTTGCTGCTCTCTTTTCTCTCTTTTTATTTTAGAATTCCCATTAGAAGTATATTGGCCATCTTAATGGTATCCCATAAGTCCCTTAGGCTTTCTTAATTTTTAAAATTATTTTTACCCTCCTCACCATATAATTTCAAAAGACTTCTTATGAAGCTTGCTGGATTTTTTCCTGCTAGATCAAACCAGTTGTTGGACCTTCTAGTGAATCTCTAAATTCAGGTATTTTATTTTTCAGCTCCACACTTTATGTTTCTATTTTGTACTTTTAATCACTTCATTGATAATCTCATTATCTTCATGAATTGTTTTCTTTTTCTGTTTAGCTTTCTATGTTCTTCTTTAGCTGAATGAGCATCTTTAAGCTAGGTGTTTTAGCCAGGCACATTGATATGTGTGTCTAATTCCAGCTACTTTGAAAGCTAAGGCAAGGGGATTACTGTATTAATAAATTCTCATGCAGCTAATAAAGACATAACCAAGACTGGATAATTCATAATGAAAAAGGTTAATGGCCTCACAGTTTCACATGGCTGGGGAGGTCTCACAATTATTGGAGCAAACAAGAGACTTTGTTCAGGGGAATCTCCACTTATAAAACCATCAGATCACGTGAGACTTTTTTGCTATCATGAGAACAGCATGGGAAAATCCCACCCCCATGATTCAATTACCTCCCACAGGGTCCCTCCCAGGACATGTGGAGATTATTACAATTCAAGATGAGATTTGGTTGGGGACAGAGAGCCAAACCATATCAATTACTTAAGGCTAGGAGTTTCAGACCACCCTGGGCAATATTGTGAGAAGCTATATGTAAAAAATATTTTTACAGATTAATCATGAATGGTGGAATGTTCCTGTAGTCTCAGGAAGTTGGAGGCTGATGTAAGATTATTCCTTGAGTTCCCAGGAATTTGAGGCTGCATTGAGTTATAACCATGATATTGTATTCCTGTCTGGGTGAGAGAGTAAGACCGCCTTTTAGAATTTCAAATTTGTTTTAGATTTAGGAGGTACCTACACAGGTTTTTTACATGGGTATTTTGTATAGTGCTGAGGTTTGAAATATAAGTAATTCCATCACTTATGCAGTGAGCATAGTACTAAATAGACAGTTTTTCAGTTCTTGATCCCTCCCTCTCTCCACCCTCTAAGAGTTGTCTTTTATTTTTATTTTTATGTCCATGTGTACCCAGTGTTAATTTCCATTTATAAGTGAGAACATCAGTATTTTTGTTTTCCATTTCTGCATTAATTTGATTGTAGAATGACCTTTAGTTGTATTAATGTTGCTGCAAAGGACAAGTTTTTTTTTTGTTGTTGTTGTTTTTGCTAAGTAGTATTGCTGTACATGTGACACTTTTTAAATTCAATTTAGCATTAATAGGCTGGACACGGTGGCTGATGCCTGTAATCCCAGCACTGTGGGAGGCCAAGGTGAGTGGATCATGAGGTCAGGAGATCGAGACCATCCTGGACAGCATAATGAAACCCCCGTCTCTACTGAAAATACAAAAGTTAGCCGGACGTGTTGTCATGAGCCTGTAGTCCCAGCTACTCGGGTGGCTGAGGCAGGAGAATTGCTTGAACCTGGGAGGTGGAGGTTGTAGTGAGCTGAGATAGTGCCACTGCACTCCAGCCTGGGCAACAGAGTGAGACTTCATCTCAAAAAAAAAAAAATACCATTAATAGTCACGTAGGTTGATTCATGTCTTTCCTGTTATAAATAATGCAGTGATGAACCAACAAGTGCATGTGCTGTTTTGGTAGAATAGTTTATTCTCTTCTGGGTATACACCCAGCGGTGAAATTCTGCGTTGAATCATAGTTCAACTCTCAGTTATTTGGAAAATCTCCAAGCTGCTCTCCACAGTGGCTGAACTAATTTATATTCCTATAAACAGTGTATAAGTGGTTTTTTCCCTCTAAAACCCCACCAATATCTACTATCATTTTACTTTTTAACAAAAGCCATTCTAACTGGTGTACGATGGTGTCTTACTGTGGTTTTTATTTACATTTCCTTGATGGTTAGTGATAAGCTTTTTTCATGTTGTTTGGCCACTTGTATGTATTCTTTTGAACATTGTCTGTTATTGCCCACTTTTTCATGGGGTAATTTTTTGCTTGTGAATTCTTTAAGTTTCTTATAGATTCTGAGTATTAGATTTTGTCAGGTTTATAGGTTGTGAATATTTTTGCCATTCTGCCAGCTTTGGGGTTAGTTTGTTTTTGTTTTTCTAGTTTCTCTAAGTGTGATGTTAAATTGTTAGTTTGAGATCATTCTAACTTCTTGATGCAGATATTTAGCACTCTCAACTTTCCTCTTAACAGAGCTTTTCCTACAACCCAGACATTTTAGTATATTGTGTCTCTTCATTTATTTCAAATTTTTTTTAAGTTTCTGCCTCAATTTTGTTGTTTACCCAAAATTCATTCAGGAGCAAGTTGTTTAATTTCAATGCCATTCTGTGATTTTGTGAGATTTTGTTGGTATTGATATTTATCTTTTTTCCATTGTGGCCTGACAGTATGGTTGGCATAATTTTCATTTTTAAAAAATGTATGGATAATTGCTTTATGGCTAGGAAGTGGTCAATCCTAGAGTATATTCTGTGAGCGATGAGAAGAATTTATGTTCCTTAGATGATGTGTGGTGTATACTATAAATGTCTATTAGTTTCAATTGATCAAGTGCGAAATCAAACTCCAGAATTTCTTTGTTAAGTTTCTGCCTAGATAATCTGACAAACACTGTTATTGGGGAGTTGCGTTTCCCTACTATTATTGCGTGGCTACTTGAGTCTTATTGTAGGTCTAGCAGTACTTGTTGTATAACTCTATGTTCCCCAAAGTTGGGTGCATCTATATTTAGGATAGTTAAGTCTTCTTGTTGAATTGAACTCTCTATCGTTATGCAATGCCTTTCTTTGTTTTATTTTACTATTAATGATTTAAAGTCCTTTTTTCTTAAAAGAGAAACAATTCCAGGTATGGTGGCTCATGCCAGCACTTTCAGACTGAGGCAGTAGGATTGCCTGAGACCAGGAGTTTGAGACCAGCCGAGGCAACATAACAACATTCTGTTTGTACAGATTCTTTTAAAGAAACTATACAGGTGTGGTAGTGTGCCCAACTGTGGTCATATTTACTCAGGAGACATAGGAGGCATGACTGCTTTACTTCAGAAATTTGAGGTTACAGTGAGCTGTGATTGCACCACTGCAATCTGTCCCAGGAGATAGAGTAAGATCCTGTGTATAAAATGAAAAAATAAAGAAAAATAAAATGATTTTAAGTTAAAAAATAATTCATAGATCTCCACTTCTTTAGGGTCACTTGAATATATATTTTTCTCGTTTCATTAGGCTATATTTCCTGGTTGCTTTTATGTACTGTGGTTTTGTTAAGGTTTTGGTCAATTAAGAAACCACTACCTATTTTATCCTTTATGAAAAAGCTTTGTACATGGGAAAATTGACAATATTCAGCCACACTAGTCATTCCGGGAGCTTCTCCAATCTGTTGTCAAAATGTGTCTTCTTTGTACTGTATGTATTTTCTTGTTAATAAGGTTTACCTCTCTTTCCTCTTAGGAGCCTTTAGTCTCTTCTCTTTGTCACTGTTGCAGGCACTACAGTCTCTTTGTTGTAAGAAATATTTATCTTTATTCTCAGTCGACCCAAGCTGTCATTTAAACTCTATCTCTATTCTGGTCAACACTAAATGTTAAAGGTATAAATCAATAAGTCAGAAGTTTGCATACACGTTTCACTCTGTTTTCTTTCCCGAGGGAGAATCATGGAATGGACAGAATTTTATCTAACTGCACTGTTCTTTAGTGCAGAAATGTAACCAAATTTTCTTTCTTCTAAATGTGGTTATGGTTGGCTTTTTTCTCATGAGGGGTGCTACAAACTCAACTGGCTTTGCTCACCCAATTGCAGTTAAGTTCATACATCCATTGAGAGAAACAGGATCTCAGGTTCTTCTTCAACTATCATTGTGTTCTCAGCTGGCCTCATTTTGTTCATTAGATTTATAAAATATATTTACCTTAATTTCATCACCGAATTTTTTAAAAAATTATTATTTTCCAGCTCTTTTAGCATTATATCCAACAAGACCCAGACAAAACAGTACATAGGAGCTTCTTTTCAAAAAGTAATATTGGGAAGATATGGGAGCTCTGGCCTTGAAAATTTACACTTAAGGAGAGTGGGAAATTGAAGGATAAGTGTAAAGGGTACAAAGGATGCTATGATGAATATACCAGATATAGAGCAACTACCTACAGCAAAAATGTCACTGCTAGAAGAGCTCAAAACCATAAAGTATTTTGGAAAAAGCATAATTAATGTTGATTCTTTTTTCTGAACTATATATTTGTATAATTACATATCAATAACAATTTTTGAAACATCATGTTTTTGAAACAAAATTTAGAAAATCGCAATAGTGGCCTAGGCCAGGAATATATCTTCTAATGCTATCCCTCCCATAGTCCCCCACTTCCTGACAGGCTCCAGTGTGTGGTGTTCCCCTTCCTGTGTCCCTGTGTTCTCTTTGTTTAACTCCCAACTATGAGAGAGAACATGTGATGTTTGCTTTTCTACTCTTGTGTTAGTTTGCTGAGAATGGTGGTTTCCAGCTTCATCCATGTCCCTGCAAAGGACATGAACTCATCCTTTTTATGACTGCATTGTATTCCATGATGTATACATGCCACATTTTCTTTATTCATTCTACCACTGATGGGCATTTGGTTTGGTTCAAAGTTTTTGCTCTTGTGCACAGTGCCATAATAAACATATGTTTGCATGTGTCTAAGTAGTAGAATAATTTATAATCATTTGGTTATATACCCAGTAATGGGATTGCTGGATCAAATGGTATTTCTCATTGTAGATCCTTGAGGAATTGCCATACTGTCTTCCACAATGGTTGAACTAATTTACACTCTCACCAACAGTGTAAAAGTGTTCCTATTTCTCCACATCCTCTCCAGCATCTGTTGTTTCCTGATTTTTCCAATGATCACCATTCTAACTGGAGTGAGATGGTTTCTCACTGTGTTTTTGATTTGCATTTATCTAATGACCAGTGATGATGAGTTTTTTTTTCATATGTTTGTTGGCTGCATAAATGTCTTCTTTTCAGAAGTGTCTGTTCATGTCCTTTGCCCATTTTTGATATGGTTGTTTGTTTTTTTCTTGTAAATTTGCTTAAGTTTTTTGTAGATTCTGCATATTAGCCCATTGTCAGATGGATAGATTGCATAAATTTTCTCCTTTCTGTGGGTTGCCTGTTCACTCTGATGATAGTTTCTTTTGTTGTGAAGAAGCTCTTTACTTTAATTACATCTCGTTTGTCAATTTTGGCTTTTGTTGCCATTGTTTTTGCTGTTTTATTCATGAAGTCTTTGCCCACGCCTATGTCCTGAATGGTAATGCCTTTGTTTTTTGGGGGGTTTTTATGGTTTTAAGTCTTACATTTAAGTCTTTAATCCATCTTCAGTTAATTTTTGTATAACTAGTAAGGAAGACGTCCAGTTTCATTTTTTTGCATATGGCTATCTAGTTTTCCCAACACCATTTATTAAATAAGGAATCCTTTCCCCATTACTTGTTTTTGTCAGGTTCATCAAAGATCAGATGGTTGTAGATGTTTGATGTTATTTCTGGGGCCTCTGTTCTGTTCCATTTGTCAATATATCTGTTTTGGTACCAGTACCATACTGTCTTGGTTACTGTGGCCTTTTAGTATAGTTTGAAGATAGCTAGTGTGATGCCTCCACTTTTGTTCTTTTTGCTTAGGATTGTCTTGTCTATGCAGGATCTTTTTTGATTCCATATGAAATTTAAAGTAGTTTTTTTTCTAATTATGTAAAGAAAGTCAGTGGGAGCTTGATGGGGATAACACTGAATTTATAAATTACTTTGGGCAGTATGGCCATTTTCACAATATTGATTCTTCCTATCCATGAGCACGGATTGTTTTTCATTTGTTTGTGTCCTCTCTTATTTCCTTGAGCAGTGGTTTGTAGATCTCCTTGAAGAAGTCCTTCCCATCCCTTTTAAGTTGGATTCCTAGGTATTTTATTCTCTTTGTAACAATTGTGAATGAGAGTTCATGCATGATTTGGCTCTCTGTTTGTCTATTATTGTGTATAGGAATTCTTGTGATTTTTGAACACTGATTTTGTATACTGAGACTTTTTTGAAGTTGCATATTGGTTTAAGGAGATTTTGGGCTGAGACGATGGGGTTTTCTAAATATACAATCATGTCAGCTGCAAACAGAGACAACTTGAGTTCCTCTTCCTATTTGATTACGCTTTGTTTCTTTCTCTTGACTGATTGCCCTGGCCAGAACTTCCAATACTATATTGAATAGGAGTGATGAGAGAGGGTATTCTTGTTTTGTGCAGATTTTCAAAAGGAATGTTTCAAGTTTTTTCCCATTCAGTATATTGGCTGTGCGTTTGTCATAAATAGCTCTTAGTATGTTGAGATAAGTTCCATGAATACATAATTCATTGAGAGTTTTTACCATGAAGAGGTGTTGAATTTTGCTGAAGGCCTTTTTTGCATCTATTGAGATAATCATGTGGTTTTTGTCATTAGTTCTGTTTATGTGATGGAATACATTTATTGATTTGCATATGTTGAACAAGCTTTGCATCCGAGGGATTAAGCTGACTAGATCGTGGTGGATAAGCTTTTTGATGTGCTGCTGGATTCGGTTTGCCAGTATTTTATTGAGGATTTTCGCATCGATATTCATCAGGGATACGGGCCTGAAATTTTCTTTTTCTGGTGTGTCTTTGCCAAGTTTTGGTTTCAGGATGATGCTGGATGCATAAAATGAGTTAAGGAGGAGTACCTCTTTTCTATTGTTTGAAATAGTTTCAGAAGGAATGGTACCAGCTCCTCTTTGTACCTTTGGTAGAATTCGGCTGTGAATCCTTCTGGTTCTGGACTTCTTTTGGTTGGTAGGCTATTAGTTACTGCCTCAATTTTAGAACTTGTTATTGGCATATTCAGGCATTCGACTTCTTACTGGTTTGGACTTGGGAGGGTATATGTGTCCAGGAATTTATCCATTTCGTCTAGATTTTCTAGTTAATTTGCAAAGAGTTTTTTATAATATTCTCTAATGGTAATTTTTATTTCTGTGGATCAATGGTTATATCCCCTTTATCATTTCCTATTGCATGTATTTGATTCTTCTCTTCTTCCTTATTACTCTGGCTAGCAGTTTATTTATTTCTTGATCTTTTCAAAAAAACAGCTCCTGGATTCGTTGATTTTTTGGACGGGCTTTTTGTGTGTCTATCTCCTTCAGTTCTGCTGTGATCTTAATTATTTCTTGTCTTCTGCTAGCTTTTGAATTTGTTTGCTCTTGCTTCCCTAGATTTTTAATTGTGATATTATGATGCCGATTTTAGACCTTTTCTGCTTTCTCTTGTGGGCATTTAGTGCCATAAATTTCCCTTTGCACACTACTTTAGCTGTGTCATATTTTAATTTTTAAGCCCTCAATCTTTCTTTTTCATCATGACAGTCTTGACTGTTTTATGTTTATGAAAACTGTAAAATTGTTTACACAGTTTTTACAAAGACTTTACCAAAAGATTTTATTGAGAATGTACAAACCTGTCAGTCAATTAGGGGAGAAGTTGCATTGTAGTAATAAATAGCCACAAAACAAAACCCTGAAGGACATCCAAACCAGAATAAAACAAAACATTTTAACAAAGAGAAAAAGAACAATCTCGCAACAAATATGTGCAGTTTATATCACAAAGATGTTCACATCTCCACTTTAAAGAGAGCTTTTAGAAGTTGATTTAAAATATGGGAAAAGACATTATCCCACACCACAGAAAAAATAAATTTAAGCAGCTCTTAACACATGAACGTATTATCAAGCTCAGATGGAATCAAAATTAAATATTTGACAACAGATTCTACAGTTTGAGAGAAATAGAAAAGTGTTTTTTTCTTTTCTCCAGGTCCACAAGTCTAGTTTCTTGGACTCTCTCACTATAATGGAGGTTGTCATCAGCTCCCCAAAATAAGGGAAGCACAGAGCAGATGGTGGCTGAAGGTGGGGAATCCTGTGAAATCATATTTAAGATCATAGCCCGTGGTCCATTGTATTGTAATCAGCTGGCTCAGGAAAGAAGATCTGGATCTCCTGAGCTCTACACCTACTGCAATGGATATGTCAGGAGTCCCGAGAACCTCTGGGGCCCAAACCCCTCCCACCAAAATATATCATCCAGTATTGAGGACTCTGACACCAAATTCTCACAGAGCATATGCTTATGCAATTTTACATTTAATTTCTCATTACATTACAATTGGGAAAATGAGGCCCCAAAAGAGGCAGGGACTGATCCAGATCTCAGGAGGTGGGCAGGCTCCAGAGCATTAGAGAGAGCTCCAGCTTCCTAGGCCTTGGCTCCATCCCACCTATCAGGTTTGCTTTGGAAGTTAGAGCCTGTAGCTTCACATTCAGGGGCACAGAGAATGAGCAGATCCAGGGTTCTGTTCACATGGGGACCTCTCCATGTCAATTTCAAGATGACAGGACTGGGGTTTTGCATCCAGCTCTGAGGGCACCTGGAAGTAAAATGAGCTATGCTCCACCTCAGCGTAATGTAGAGAATGCCTGCAGGAAAGCCTGTTTTCTTCCTCATAAATAGGGCTGTTTGAACTGGGTGACCTCGACGATTTCACATACTCATAAGTGTCTTCCAGCCCTGATTCTTGCTCTGAGACTGTGCAGAAATGCATCCACTCTCTGTAGGTCCTTCAAATCAGAGGGAGGCATGGCCACTTCAGAGGCATCTTGGGTAGATGAAGATGAGACGGAGCTAAATGTTCCAGAGCATTGGACTCTGAGGCTGAAGTCCACGGAAAATCCCAGCTCCTGTTGGGTTCTTAAGGTCCTCATTTGAAAGTGGTAGAAACTAATTTCACTGGATAAGGGGAGGATATCTCATGGATAAATAGCACAACCCAAAAGGTAGAGGCAAATAGAAGGCAAAGGGGGATTCCAAGGTCACTCATTGTACTTGGGGCCTTCAGATTCTGCTACTTTATCCCCTAGGACCTTGAAGAACCAGTGTCTTGAGGACAGAAAAATCAAGATACCTGATTTGTTCCATAGTGCTCCTGCATTGGGCCATAGAGTTAGTGATGGCCTGGAGGTGGTTACAGCCAGCTCTGTTTCTGGTGCCCACTGAGCTTTGCTGGAGCAGCTGGAACAAGTAAGAGTCACACATCTCATGTTGTTATCAATGATCTCCACATTATCAGGTGGTCAAAAGAGGAAGGGATATTAGAGATCCTCCATATAATCACTTAGCCAGTCTTTTTTCCCTTGCGCTCACCCTTTGCCAGCTAACCAGGTGGGTGCAACGTGGTACAGAAAATTATTACATGATGCCTGCACCCCCCAACCCAGGACCAAACATTCTGAGGACAGCTGGATAAAAGCACTAAAGCAAGTATATGTGAAAGAAAAGAGGAAGGACTATAATATAAAGTGGAATGTTGAGAAGAAAAGCTGGAAAATTATTGCATGGGAGGAACTAAGGCCTCATTGTGGTGATGTTTAATCCATGATAAGGATGACAACAGGGAGACATCTCTGCACAAGTATGTGTCAGGGAGAAGCCACCCTTAGTGAAGAGACTCATAGGTGTGAGTTCGGCAGAGGTTAGAAAGTTTGGCTGCAGACAGCCTGAGGAAGATATAAGTAGAGGGATGGAGAATCCTAGGGCCTGGGAGATGAGGTTAGATATCTGCTCCTTTCTGACAACATTGCCCTAAAAGTCAGCACTTTTCAACAACATATAATATCTCATAATTTATGTGGACCAGAATCTGGACACAGTTCAGTTGGGTACCTCTGCCTTTAGGTCTTTTATGACATTGGGACTGTGGTCTTAACTGAAGCTGGACTGGGAAAGCATGAGCCTTTAAGCTGACTCATGTGAAAATTGGCAGGGTTTAGTGTGGCTGGAGAGCCTGACTTTCCTTCTCTCTACTGGTCTGAGCACCCCCTCAGGCTCTGTTATGTTGGTCTTTACATGGAGCATCTCATAGCATTGAAGCTTGCTTCCTGTGTTTGAGGTATACAATAGAGAGAGAGAATTAGACAAAAAGGTGTACACAAAAAGAGACAGAGAAAGATTGAGGGCGCAAACAGGAAAAACCCAGTAGGAGAAAAATGAGAGCTTTAGAAAAATCTTGACAGGGTGCGGTGGCTCACACCTGTAATCCCAACACTTTGGGATGCTGAGACGGGTGGATCACCTGAGGTCAGGGGTTTGAAAGCAGCCTGGACAATATGGTGAAACCACCGTCTCTTCTAAAAGTACAAAATGAGCAAGGTGTGGTGGTGCATGCCTGTAATCCCAGCTACTTGGGAGACTGACGCAGGGGAATCATTTGAACCTGGGAGGCGAAGGTTCCAGCAAGCCGAGATCACACCACTGCACTCCTGCCTGGGATACAAGAGTGAAACTGTCTCAAAAAAAAAAAAAAGGAAACAAAAATCTTGAGAGTTCCAATAATTTTTCTCCTGTATTTATGTTAAAATTGTAACCCCCGTTGTAATGCTATACGGATGAAAGATGTACTTAACTCCTGAGGGTGGGACCTTCATAATAGAGATTACTGGCTTTATACAAGGAACCGCAGAGGGCTCTCTTCCTCCTTCTGCAAAATGATGGTAAAACTTGAAGTCTGCAGTCTGAAATTCAGAAGCGAGTCATCACCAGAGCTCAACCGTGCTGACAACCTGATCTCAAATTTCGAACCTATAGAAGTATGAGAAATTAAGTCCTGTTGTCTATAAGCTGCTTATCTATGGTTCTTTGGCATAGCAGCCTGAACTAATACAAAAGTGATATCCTTTTCTGTATTTCATTGGACAGAAGCTGAATTTGTACCCCTATGCTGTTAAAAAAATGACTTAAAATGGATTTTCAGAATGAAAGATAGGAAATGGCTTGTTGAAACACTAAAATGTTATCTGCTTATAAGATTTTTAAACATTGGCTGAAATTGTTGGAACTGATATGGCCAAATGAAGTCCATGAAGAATCAGATTGCATATGTTAGAGCCCAAATTTCCATTGTGTGTTTCATACTAACTCTCCCTGAATTTGCATGTGACTTGAGAGGAAGCAAGAAGAGATGACAGTATATGTCTCATGACTTTCCATATTCCTACTTTCCTTCCAGCAATCCCTTACAGAACCCACCTCTTAGGCCTTTTCTAATCACTGCCTTAAAGCCAGTATAAGAAAACAAATTTCAGCTGGACTGCTATCTCCTTTTTGGCCAACCTACAACATGATATTTTCCTCAAAACCCAAGGGCCATATTACTGTCATCAGGCTGTAGGCCATTTTATTCAATAAAAAACTGAGTCACTAACCACCTAGTACTGTGAGATTTTGTGAAGAGTTTCCCTGTCATAGACGTGAGAAGGCACATGGATATGATTCTAAATATAAAGAGAAAGCACTAGAAAGTTGAATGGCTGTATTAGGACTTTGTCATACTGCAATGATGAAGTACTTGAGACTGGGTAATTGATAAAGAAAAGAAGTTTAATTGACTCACAGTTCCACATAATTGGGAGGGCACCTCAGAAACCTTCCAATTACAGTGGCTGACAAGTGAAGTGAGTGAGAGCATGGGATGTACCAGATGCTTATGAAACTATCAGATCTCATGAGAACTCACTATCACAAGAACAGCATGAGGAGAACCCATCCCCATAATCCAATCATCTCCCCTCAGGTTTCTCCCTTAACACCTGGGGGTTATAATACACAGAGAAGTTTGGGTGGAACACACAGCTAAACTATATGAATGCCAGAGGACAGTATCTACATTTAATTTCAACTTCATACTGGAGCAGAATGAAAATGAAGCGCAGTGGAGAAGTGACATTCCCAAGATCACCCTGCCAGACCCAGGCTTGTTTGAGTTGTGGCCCATGCTACCTTCTACATATTCTCCTAATGCTTCCATCTCTAAGTGTGTGCATTATCTACAGGTAACACCACATGATTTTTATGTTTTATCTTATATACATCTAATACAATCCCTAGGAAGTAGATGTTAGCATCATCCCCACTGTGCATGCTTGGAGGCTGGGGAAGCCTCAAATACACAGTGACTTTTATTGGGTCCCAGAGATGGTAAGAAAAACAAGGTTATGTTCCAGCTGTCTCTTATATCCTGGAACCCAGGCTGCATTTAGTTCTTTCCAGGGAATTAAGGGGAAGTTGTGTTTGCATACTTGTGTACAAATGAAGAGTTGACATGGAAGAGGAGACTGAGCAATTAGTAGCATAGTGGGGCTTTTGGGTAGGTCTTACAGAAAGAAGGGACCCAGTAGATGGAACCTTGAAGAGTTTAACACACTTTCTTGGTGACAACCCAACATCAGTTAAGAAACCAGGAACCCACATTCTTGAGACAGCTCTGTATCCACCTCTGTTAGTGAGAGATGCTCAAGAGAGTGAGATGTTCTTTCATTGTGCCCTGAAATTTCTGAGTTTTGACTTTACAAAGGCTCAGTGTAAAAGCCTTATCTGAAAACACGGATGTCAACTCAGGCCTCATCATTGATGCCCCTGGCTATTGGCCGGGTGCACCTACAAATAACACAGGGCAGCTCAGGACAGGCCCCAGAGCCAGGCCTCTCTTGTCAACTCATCTGGGAAGTCCCACACCATTTCTTAGTACCATGAGTTGTATGGGGAGCAAGAGGGAGGGCACTCTTCTTTTACTGAAGCAGATTGTCAGGTGTTGGAACCCTTGTGTACCTGTCATGTTCATACCTAGGCCATAGCTGGCAGAATAAAAAGAAGAGGGTTGGAGAACGAGTCTGTGTACTCAGATGTGAATTCCAAGACTTTAACTTGTCCTCTGGTTTCCTTCCTTGCTGGAGATTCATACAGATTCTCCTTATGTGCCTAATCTGAAGAGCAGAATTTCTTTTCTTTTCTTTTCTCTTTTATTTTCTTTCTTTCTTTCTTTCTTTCTTTCTTTCTTTCTTTCTTTCTTTCTTTCTTTCTTTCTTTTTCTTTCTTTCTTTCTTTCTTTCTTTCTTTCTTTCTTCTTTCTTTCTTTCTTTCTTCTTTCTTTCTTTCTTTCTTCTTTCTTTCTTTCTCTTTCTTTCTTTCTTTCTTCTTTTTTTCTCTTTCTTTCTTTCTTTTTCTTTCTTTCTTCTTCCTTACTTCCTTCTGTCTTTCTTTCTCTCTTTTTCTTTTTCTTTTTTCCTTTTTGAGGAAGCCTCGCTCTGTCACCCAGGCTGGAGTGCAGAGAAAAGCAGAATTTCTAGTGGAGGTGTCACATACGGTGAAAACAAGGCAGACCACTGACTTTTCTTTGCGTGGTTTCTAGGCACTTTTTACAGAGCTGCATTCAGATTGATGAGGAGCTTCTTGATGTGGCCAACTCCTCCCTCTTTTTGGAAAAAGACCAGGTGCACTAAGCCAGCAACCACAGCCAGCACCGGGCTGTGGTAAGAGCAGCCACATAGGGGTCTCTACAGACAGAAACCCGAGAAGACCGGGACAGACCCAGTACCCAGACTCCAGTATGAAAACTCTCTGGGCTGTGTCCTATGATCTTCCCATGAGTAACTCATAGTCTTGATCCAGTGGAATCTGGCCTTCATTAGTCTCAGTGGCAAGTTGGTTATGTGGAAAGTCTCTGTTCACTCACTTGGGTGAATAACAGTAAAGACCTTTCTATTGTTTTCACTTTACATTAGGCCATGAGTATTTGTGCCTGTAGCTGCAGTTTGTGTTAGTTTCCTACCCCAGGTATCTCCTGCAGCATGCAGCTTCAGTCCTACCAGACCCTCAAAACTTAAAAGCGAACACTATTTCTAGGGAGGATTTTGCAGGAAAATGGAGAAAGGGTTACACACAAAAAAGGTTAAACTACTCTATGCATGTTTCTGCAATGTGTTATCTCAAGAATTCATCTCTGTAGCCCATCAGGGCAGGAGCTGGTCTCTCACCTGTTGATAATATTCCATAAGGGAGGTTCTTCCCCACAGTGTTTAGTCTTCCGACGCTGGTATAGCCTGACATGATGACATTCTACTTTCATGTTGGTCATGCTGCAGGGAGAATTCTGTGAGTGTCCTAATAGGCTGGAATCACTTGCTAAGGTGAACCCCATCTTTGGTGCTCACTTTTCTGTTATCTTATAATTAGCTTTATTCTAAGCAAATCCATGTCTATTTTATTTATCTGTTTATTAACTTATTTTTATGTATGGAAAAACACATTTTTTTATTTGCTTATTTATTTAGAGACAGGGTCTCCCTCTGTCATCCAGGCTGGAATACAGTGGTAGATTGGAGTGATCATGGCTCATTGCAGCCTCAAACTCTTGAGCTCAAATGATTCTCTCACCTCAGCCTCCTGTGCCACCATGCCCTGCTAGTTGATTTTAATTTGTTATAAAGAAAGTGTCTCATTATGCTGCCCAGGCTGGTCTCAAACTCCTGGGCCCAAGCAATTCTCTCATCTCAGCCTCCCAAAGCACTAGGATTAAAAACATGAGCCACTGTACTGCGCTGTGCCTACTTCAAAGGACTGAAAATAAAAAATAAATAAATCTTTGCCAAATTAAAAAACAAAGCAATAGTTTCCAGGTCTTAGATAAAGACAATTCTCTGTCATGAAGAATGACAGAAGGCTTATTTAGCTGTTAAAATGATTTGCTTATATTTCAAAGAAGCAGAGAAAAAAAGGTACATGTAAAAGTGTTCCAGGCCACTCATGGTGGTTCATGCCTGTAATCTGAACATTTGGGGAGGCCAAGGCATGAGGATACCTTCAAGCCAAATGTTTGAGTCCAGTACAGGCAATATGGTGAAATTCTGTCACTACAAAAAAATAAAATAAATATGGCTGGGCATGTTGGCTCACACCTGTAATCCCAGCACTTTGGGAGTCTGAGGCAGGTGGATAATGAGGTCAGGGGGTGGAGACCAGCCTGGCCAAAATGGTAAAACCCATTCTCTACTAAAAATAATAATAACAAAAAATTAGCCAGACATGGTGGTGTGCGCCTGTAATCCCAGCTACTCAAAAGGCTGAGACAGGAGAATTGCTTGAATCTGGGAGGTGGAGGTTGCATTGAGACAAGATCATGGCACTACACTCCAGCCTAGCCCACAGAGCAAGACACTGTCTTGAAAAAAAATAAAAACAAAAATAAATAAAGCTAGCCAGGCATGGTGGTTCATGCCTATAGTCCTAGGTAATTAAGCGGTTGATGCAGGAGGACTGCTCAAACCCAAGAGGTTAAGGTTACCGTGAGCTATGATTATGCCGTTGCACTTCAGGCTAAGTAAAAGAGTAAGATTCTGCCTCAAAAAATTACTAATTAAAGTTTTCCAGATTACATTGTTTAAGAAAAAGGAAAAGAAAAAAATCTTTTTTTTATTTTCAAATGGGAGAATAGAGCCTCTCATTTCTAATTTGTATTGCCTTCTGCAAAAACTTAGTCTAGGCCCATGGTCTTGAACTACTGGACATCTGAATTTTGGTAGGTGCTGGATTCAGGCAACTGAGGGGTGGCCTTGGGCACACTGTGTGCACATAAAAGAAAGGGTTTGAGGTGAACTAAAAGGTAAAAGAGGGGAAGGTGCTATTAAGAAACCAGAAGTGAGAGACTGTACAGGGTTGGTGGGAGGACTGGTTCATGCTACAGACACTGACCCAGGTGAAACTTTTCTCTGAGTTATTTCTATGTTCATGCAGGAAGACGAGATTATGATCAGGTGGCACAGAAATCTGCGATGGTGAAAAAACCAGGTTGCCACTGCAGATTCGGTGTCTGAAGTAGAACATATGCCAGGGGTCTTGTAGGCACGTGTGTGGGTTTTTGGTGGGAAAGTCTATGAGGAAAGGTAGGATGGGCAACAATCTTGATGCCAAAGCCTTGTCCTGAGAGGGGCTTGACCACGTCAACATGCAGTGTGTATGTTCAGTGGGTGAAAAACATGTGGTGGCCTCAGGTTGGCAGGAGGGTAGAAGGCATCTGTTCTCAGAACTTCTTCCCTCAGAGTCGTCGGTCCTTCTTACCATGGGAGGATGCCTGGAACCACAGGGCAGTGCATGGCGTAGCAGCCTGTGTGCAGAGCAGAGCCTACCTTCCCCGAGACACCTGGAGTCTCTCTCCAGCAAAGGCCCCCACATTGTCTTTCTCCTTACAACACTTTTGATCCTAAATGTGTAAAGTTCCCTGAAAACCCACTGCTTCTCCAACACCCATTTCTTGCCCCAAAATTTAATTCTGACACAACTTAGAGTTCGCACAGATCCCACAAATTCAGGGCTAAGTCCCACATCACCCCTCTCACTGCAGAGGTTAGTCACATGTCCCATAAGCCCATCTATACTTCTGAGCTACTGCCTATAAATCTGAGACTCCCATAAACCCCTTTTCAAGTTAAATAATTTGATAGAGTTACTCAAAAAAACTCAACAAATAAGTCTAATTATATTTACCACTTTATTATAAAAATACAACTCAGAAACTGACAAATGAAAGAGATGTCTAGGAAAAGGAACAGTTGTGGGTGAAGGTAATCCTGGAAATAGCTATATTTAAAGAAATTCCCCCATTCTTTGTGTTCTCAAAGAACAGCTTAGTGAAGAGAAACGTGCTTCCCATTATGACTTTGTGGATGTTCCCCCCCCCCCTTTTTTTTAACCTATCACAAAGACGGACACAGATTACAAATTCCTATTTTTAAAAATGAACAACCATTCTGTAATTTAGTCTTCAGTGGTCAAAACAGAGTACTTGTTAACAAAACTTTGCTTGTTCCCCTTCTTCCCTCAGCCCCTGAACTTTGACTCACCCACAGCCTCAGAGAACCTACAACCCATATTTATACATATCCCTCCTAAGAACAGGCTGACTTCAAGATGAAACATTATCTTATCTGGGATCTGATTTTGCTACCCTCCATCCTGTGCTTCCTTTCCAACCTTCTTTGTAAACTTATTTTCTCCTCCCTATGAAATAAAACCCTTTTCCACCTAACCTTTGAGATCCTCAAAGATCTAATCATTTGTACTTTTTCCTTGTTACAACACTTCTTAAGTAACTTCTTAGACAAAGTCTATAAACAGTCTCAGGACAATAAAAACTCCATTCTAGAAAGAATATCCCAACTTTTCTTCAATCTCAACCCCAACTGCATCTGCCTGTCAACTTCCAGCTTACCAAAGCTCTGTATCTTCTGACAGTGACAAAGGCTCCTTCTATGGTTGGTGTGAGCAGACTTTGATGTCTGCAGGGCAGACACCCAGGAATAATCAACTGGGCCTTCAGTGGCCCCCTTTTGCAGGGTCAACGTTAGCCTTAGCTTTTAGTCAACGGTCTAAGACTTCTACTTACCAGTTAAAGTCATTCAATTAGTTTTCAATTTAAAAAATACTTCATGTTTGAAGAATCCAGCAAAAATCATTCAAATCTAAGGTTTAAAAGAGAGGAAATTATGGTCGGGCATGGTGGCTCATGCCTGTAATCCCTGCATTTTGGGAGGCTGAGGCGGGCAGATTACCTGAGGTCAGGAGTTCGAGACCAGCCTCACTAACATGAAGAAACACAGTCTCTACTAAAAATACAAACTTAAACGGGGGTGGTCGTGTATTCCTGTAATCTCAGTTACTTGGGAGGCCGAGGCAGGAGAATTGCTTGAACCCGGGAGGTGGAGGTTACAGCGAGCCAATATCGTGCCATTGCACTCCAGACTGGGCAACAAGAGTGACACTAAGTCTAAAAAATAAAATTAAAATTAAAAAAGAAAGTTATAAGGGGCTTACATTTTATAACTCAACAAGAAAAGCCAAAGTATCTATCCCTTTCAGAAAATAAACATGTAATTTAATTATGTTCATAACAAATCATTTAGTAAACAATCATATGTGAACACTTCCAGGCGGTGCCAAGTCCCAGCTCCTAAAACTTAGCGTTACCCTCAAACACCCAGATGACAGCATATGGAACAGAGATACTCACTATCAGAAGTTCTCTGTTTTGAAAAAAGAATAACTGATGTGATAAATTTATGTAATTTAACAATTAATCTACCTCACGTGCTTGTAGGTATGTATTCATTTCCTACCACCGTAGTGGAAGAGAGACTATCCCTATCAATACACCTGGTAACATTCCCAACAGTAAGCCGTGAGATTCTGCTTGAAATCACCTCTCAGACAAATAAAAAACAGTCCTGGGAAATGTACGACACTCATTCTGCTAAAGAAATAGGCAAGTAACAATTTTTAACAAGTGAAATATATTACTACTTAATTTTATTCAAAATTCACCAACTTAATGTGCTTTATAAATATTTTCATGCCTTTCAAGCTCTACTGATAAAACATAGTTTACAGTTAATTAAAAAGTGAAGTTAAAGTAAGTACAAAAACATTTTCAAGGTGACAAAATTAGAAGGTGACAGTGCCGATTGAAACACAGACATATCAGACCCAAGGGTCAAGTCAAGCCATTCTATTACTTGGGATATTTTCCCCACTCACATCTGGTTCAGTGAAGTGGGTCATGACCATCCTACCAGGAGCCGCTACCCTGTGCTCCTCTGTGTCCCTGAGGTGCATTTTACTTTGCAGGTTTTTGCACTGCCTCACTAGGTTGGGTTTCTTTGTCCTTTGAAATATTTTCTCTCCCTTCACCAATCTGAGAACATTTTTTCCTCAATATCAGCATCCATTTGCCTGGCCTGCAATGTGTCTCTAAGGAATGGAAACTAAGCTTTGGGGTAAGAAAATCTTAATGACCTAATGGGTTTGCTTTTAGCGCAAGGGTATACCTAGAGATTCCTTCCAGGCACATCTCAAACAACCACTCCACAGAGAGGCTGCATTCCCATACCTTGGGCTGTTCCCTGAGAGGAGATGACACAAGGGATGCTATTTACTAGACACTTCAAGAGTCATGGCCACTGTTGGCATCTTGGGGAATCCTCAAACAGTTTTGAAATTCAAAACCAAGAAAATAACAGGATGGCTGAGGATGTATTGCCCTGTGAAGTTTCCAAAATGAAACCTGAACCCAAAGGCTTTCTGATGGGGTGTCTGTGCCAAGAGAAGTTTAAACAAAGGGGCACAAAGGTTTTCCGCTTTTTATTTATTTTTTTTACAGTGGGGTGTCAGGGGATTATTCTCTGCTTTCATCTCCTGTAAAATGTTTACAAATGAGAAAAAATTTTTTTAAATGACATCCACTGCTTTTTGACAAAAAGAAGAATTGAAATACTGTGTCTGAAATATACAATAAAGAACAGTTGATAATGTTGTGAATTATGGAAGGTTAGTTAGTGTTGGTGAGTGTCAGGAAAGAACTGGAAATTTAAAATCTGATTGCAAGCCAGAGTTAGGCTGGGGCAACAGGGAGTTAGATTTGAGTCTCTGCCTGCCACACATTTGGAAAATGCATGAGAAAACTAGTTCCCTTTTGGAGTGTTAAAATAACTAAAAAACAGGTGATTATGTTGAGGTGGCTCTAGTGTCCTGAGCTCTGAGTGGAGAGACAGGCCAAGGCCTCCGTACTTCCAAAAAGCTGCCCATTCTTCTCCAGCTGTGCACCTGATTAGATAGTTTCCACTCCAAGACCCATGATTGGATGTAGTTCAATTCCCTACCCTGCCGCCTCAGACCATGAGTGACATATGTGATTTGACACTGGGTTGAATAAAGCAAGAATTATAGGTTTTTCCTGGATCCTTTTCTGGCAGGGCTTCCTCTGTGAACTAGAAACTGGCCCTGCCTGTAAAATATTTGCATTTACATTTGTATGTAAGATTATTTGTATTAATGAATAATATATATGTGTTATTCATATATGGAATCAATATAATGACAATTGTTTTAAAATTTCAGATGTTTTACTTTCCTGGCACATCCAGGTTTTAGAGCAGGCAGCCTGAGATTTCAAAAGGGAGGCAATTCTCTAAGAAATAATATGAGAGGCACAAGTGAATTTTAAATATTCTGGTAACTACTTTTTAATAAATATACCGGGCATGCTTCCCTGTGCCTGTAGGTCGAACTATTAGGGAGACTGAGGTGGGAGGATCACTTGAGACCAGGAGTTTGAGACCAGCCCAGGCAGCATAGAGAAAGCCATCTCTACAAAAAAAAAAAAAAAAAAAAAAAAAAAAATTTGAAAAATTAGCCAGGCCTGGTGGTGCATGACTTCAGTCCCAGCTACTCAGAAGGCTGGAGCTGGAGGATCACCTGAGCCTGGGAGGTCAAGGCTGCAATGAACCATGATCACACAACTGTACTCCAGCCTGGCTGACAGAGCAAAACCCTGTCTCAAAAAACTGATCTCTGGAAAGGCAATTTGTTTTTCTGCAATGTAGCCAAGCAGCTAAGTATGTATTGAAGCCATCCTTTAATTTTTAACAGGGCAAGAAAGCTTTCTAAGACCCCGAACTCCAGATATGCGATGGGGCAAATCCTGAAGCGTACATGGCTATCTCTCACAGCTAAAGCATCCCTCACCCCTATCCAGCGCTTCTTACCCCTGGCGCAAGAGAATCACCTGCGGGGAGGAAAACTTTCAAAATCCCTTAAACCCAAGTTGTAACCGCACAACTAAATCAGAATCCTTGGAGCTGGATCTGAAAAAAATATGGTTGAAAGTCGTGCAGGTGATTACAATGTGTAGGCAAGCCAGAAAACCATGGCTTTAACGAGCAGCTTTTGTTAGAAATGATTTCTCCAATGAATGTGAAAACGTTTGCTGCTGAATTGTGACCTTTCCATTTTACCTGCTTTTCCTGCAAAGTATATTTTGCAGACCCAGGCTGGCTTCTCCTTCTGTTCCTGGTTCACCCAGTGCCGTGTGTGCTCAGTGCATCCTGTGCACGGGTCACTGTGTGCCCTGGCCTGGGTGAGCATCATTCTTCGGGGAGAACCTTGATGAAAACAAAGCTGCATTCCAAAAAGTTAAAACCATGCTACTTACTGTGTTGAAGTAAAAATTAAAAGACCCAGGGGGGCTCACCCAAAAGTTAAAACATAAATAAATAACTTGGAACATTAACATACACCTGATGATGTCCTGAGTGAACACGCCCCACTTGAAAACAAAACAAAACATTGCTATTATTCTAAAATATTAATTTAGGATTGTTATGCAAACATGCACTCTTTACATTTTTATTGATAAATAACATGCATACAGCAATATAGGCACAAAGCATTTAGGGAATGTTTGATGAATTATTACTAAATAAATACACTTGTGTATCTAAGAATCAGATTTGTTCATGCCCCTGACACTTTCCCCTTCCCAAAGGTAACCAAGACCTTAAGAGCTAAGTGTAGATAAACTTTGTCATTTTGTACAAGTGTTTTATTACAGATCACTAAAAACATACACAATACAAAAAAAGTATAACAGACCAGTCACCCAGCTTTAACAGCTGCTAGTCATGTGTCATTTTTGTTTTATCTATACTTCCAGCCATGCCCCCACCCCCAATTTCATTATTTTTTAGGCTTTTTGGATAAAATGTATATTCATTGCAAGGTACAATGCGAACTGTAAATAGTAGAGAGATGGGGTTTTACCATGTTGGTCAGGCTGTTCTTGAACTCCTGACCTCAGGTGATCCACTCTCTTCCACCTCGCAAAGTGCTGGGATTACAGGCGTGAGCCAATATACTCGGCCTGAGAATTCATATTTCTAATAAAGTACAAATCCATAGGGCACATGACAACTGCAATGTCTATCTACAGTAAAAACAGTTTGATGAATAAAATGAAAGGCAATTGACTTAAGGTGGGAAAAAAACAATCAAAGCATGGGTACTATGTGCCATCTGTAGGAGCATTTGGTTAAGAATAACAAACAAACCAGTTTTATTGTTTTAATAACCGAAATTGGCAAAATTTCTAGTTTTTCTTTCATAGGAATGCTCTTAGCAAGAAAAAATTTTCATATGGTGAGAGCAAAAATGACAACCATTTGCAAGTAAATGTCTTATGAAATTAAGTAGCAGATATCAAGCTCATGACCTTCAGATTGTTACCCCTAACTCAATCATTTACATAGCAAGTGCAGATAATTTTCATAGTTCCCCATTAAAATTATACTTTACTCCCCTTACAAATTGTGACTGTTTTTAAATAAAGTTCACTAACTAAAATTTTGTATATGACATATGATAAATTTCCCTTCAAGTCACCTTATATTTACTTAATTGTGTTAGCCAGTGTCTGTCTACCTCCCAACAATACTTTGGGATTCTCCCTCCATTTGCACAGGCATCATAGCTGGGGAACAGGGATTCAAAAGACCCAGGCTGTTCCCTACATATGTTTCCTCCTCAGACATCAGTTAATCAGTCAATCAAGTCAAGTGAGAGTGGAGGCCATGTATTCCCTCTTATTCTTGGGCACTCTCCTCCAAGGAGGAAAAGGCCAGGAGGTCCTGTTAGAGGATGCACTCTGAGAGCCCGGGCTCCCTAAGGTATGAGAGTTCTAACCAGCAGGTGTAGACTTTTCAGGAGTGAGGAATGAGGCAGGCATTCCAAACCTGGAGCTTCATCACCTTTTGTTTCATCTCAAGACAATTCTGAGGGGCTGTTTTGGAGCGTGTCTGGAAGGTGAACGTTGAAGAAGAGTGTGGGCTTTGATGTGACTCAGATGAGATCTTTCATGGGGAGGCAGGAATTCAATGCCCAGAATCTGGGCTGGTGTCTTTGAGGTCAGTAGGTTGCCTCTTTGTATCCAAGTCCATTGTTACTAAATTGGAGGCTGGAGATTCTAAATGGCTTCCAGACCATCTCTCTGATTCTCTTTGGGAGATTGGGTCTGAAAAAGACAATGTCAGTATTTTTGGGAAATTCTAGAAAGTCTGCTTGGAAACCTGGGAAGACCTCTTGCCTAGTGCCTAAATATTCAATGTGCAGCTCTAGCCATGTAGATGCTTGGTAGGTATAGAGCTGGGTTTTCATTTATATCAGCAAAACCTATGTCAGAGTTGAAGAAGTAGTCAAGACAAAGTGTCTTGGTCGCAGGCCGGGGAACATCTTAAAAGCAAACTTCTAGCCTGATGACTCTTGGCAATGAGTGTTGGGTCCTGGCTAAAGTGCCTTGAATGCAGCATGAGGCCAATCCATGAATCCAAC
This sequence comes from Homo sapiens, assembly GCF_000001405.40. NCBI lineage: Eukaryota > Metazoa > Chordata > Mammalia > Primates > Hominidae > Homo > Homo sapiens. The sequence goes on from NT_113901.1 coordinate 179,026, forward strand.
TTCCAATGGAGAAATGTTAATATTTTTTCAGTTTGAATCAATCAGGGTGAAATTACCTTGCTATTGGTTTGCTTACTTTTTATTATTTCATATAAAATCTAAGACAAAATACATTAAATGCTTATTGATATATGTATTTATTCTTCACCTGGCTCATAATATTTGCCTAATTTTAAACTTTCTTCTATTTTGTAGGTTTCAACTTATTTCATTGTAAGATATTGTTAAATCTAATACGGGCATTGTCACTTTTACAAATAATTTTATTTTATTTCATGTATTTCCTATTCACTTTTTACATTTAAATTATGGACCATTTCATCATATAAAAAGCTCCATTTCTATTTTAAAAATAAGTCTTTGGGTTTTTTTGTCTTGTAATTTCCATATTACATAGTAATGAGATAAACGTTAATGTTTTCAGGGTATTTTAAATTTTAAATAATTACTCATTATATCCACGTGAAATTTGTTTTTACTGCATGTGTGAGTTGGAGAACCGTTTTCACTTCTGACTCATCTTTACTGTGATCTCCTCAGAACTCATACCTCTTGTAGTTGGGAGATTGCAGTATATAATTCCAATAAATGGGGCAAATTCAATAATAACATAATACAAATGAGTTTGAAAGCAGGACATGTCTTCAAAGCATACACAACATGGGCCTATATATGTACAACAATAATAATTTATAAGTTACAGTTTGGATGGGAATTAAAAGTACAGAAAATTTGTTAAAATAAATTAAAATGGAGATCACGTCTCAATAATCTCTGAGCAGACGAAATTAGTTAGGTCTCATAAGTGATCTCAACCTTGCTTGATTTGCAAATACAAGCAAAACTTAAATATTTCTTGTAGCTGCCTATTTAAAAAAGAGAAATGAAGCTCAACCAATCAGGAGTAGCCAACATCCTTATATAAATAGAAACTGTCCAACAAGATAAACAGACGAACAAAAAACAATAAAAAAGTTGTGCTACCACCAATCAAATGATTTTTTTGTTTCTACATTTTTTCAATAAATACTTGCTTCTTACTCTGTCAGAGAAGCACTAAATAACTTTTGGTCTGATATTTTATAATTTATCAATTGCTCTTACTCAAATAGACACTTGGCAATTTCATTGTGTCTCAAATTACTTTTTAGCAGAATAAAATAAACTAGGAATAAACATTACAAAAATGTGTACAGAATATGAGAAAAACATAGAAAGTTTATGAAATATATGAATGTAGACATAAGCAAATAGACAATTTGTATCATATTCTTAGGCAGCAAATCTCAATATTATCAACATCAATTGTCCTTAAGTTTATTTATAAATTCAATTTTGTTCCTATACAGATACCATTAAATATTGGAAGTACACGTTACTATAAAATATTATATAGATGAAAACACACATAAGAATAGACAAGAAAACTCTGAAAAAAAAGCAAAAAACAAGACTGGCAAGCTCTGTGAAAAATCTTGATTGATTAAAAACTCATATGTCACTGAAACTAAAAATTCAGAAATAGACCAAAGTGCCTAAGAAAGTGTCATAGTGCATCCAGGCTGCTATAACAAAATACCTCAGACTGGGTAAAGGATAAACAACAGAAATGTATTTTTCACAGTTATGGAGTCTGGAAAGTGCAAGATCAAGGCAGCAGAAAATTTAGTATATGTTGAGAGCCCTGTTCCCCATAGATGGTACCATCTTGCACACGGGACAAGGGCATTGCCTTCAACTTCCCTTGAAAGAGCACTGATTCCATTCATGAAGATGAAGAACTCTTGGCCTCACCACTTCCCCAAAGGCCACACGCCTAAAATTATCCACATAGGAATTTGCAAAGGGACATAAACATTCAGGCCATCGCAACAAAAACTACATGGGGGATGGCATCATTAATACTTGAGGTGTAAAAATGTGATGTTCTTATCGCAAAGGAAATAAATGATTTATTCTTCATGGCATATAACAAAATAAAGGTCCAAAGAAAATATTTTTTATGAAGATAAATCTATATGGTAAAAAACTAAGTGTTGATAAGGTTAACCCTACAGGTTGCATCAGGATTTTCAAGGTTTCTGGTGATGAGCAAGGCCCCAGAGTTTCCTCCTGTGACATTTACCTGGAAGTTGCTCATGCTGTTATTCAATTTGAAAGTAGATAATATTGTTTGTTTCTGTTCCAATATTTACTAAATTCAAAATAATATAGGGCTCTTTATGCGTAATTGTCAAACAGTCATTCAGTCAATGGTCCTCTGCTGAGGAAGAGCACAGATACATCCAAACACATATGATGTTCCTCAAATAGAGGACTTCTCCCTGTGCGGGAGTCACCTATGTTGCACTTGATCAGAGGCTTTCCCAGGCGAGCATTTCTCTGCAGCCCTACCACAGACTTAACCCTGGAAATCTGACTCAGAAGGTGATAGATGAACACCCAACCTAGCATTCTAATCTAATGGATCCTCTCTTAATAATCCCTTCCAGGGATCTGGGAGCTTTCCTGGATTCGTCTGCCACACACAGCTAGGCTAAAACATTTGGATAGAAGCTTTGATCCTCACTGGCCCTCCTGCCCTGTTCTACCAGCTTCTCTAGAAGTATGCTTCTCTAATTGATCCTGAGAGACCCATCTAAGGCTATCTCTCTGTGCCAATATAATTGATCTCATAAAGTGGGAAGAGAAACAGGCAAGAGTCCAGCTATGCTAGAAGCTGTGTCTAGGGTTCCTTATCTGCTTTATGTCTCTGATTTACCTAAATATTGACAAATACAGATTAATCTCTAGGTAGTAGAAAAACAGAAGGAGAAATCGCAGTTCACAGAAGAAGAAGAAAATGCAATCAGTAATTCCTAGAGTCCCGCTTAAGCTCAGCCACAGGGTACTAAGTCTCTTCAGGAAAAAGCAATGGTTGTCCATCATCTGAAAAACTGTGGCGTTGAACCATGGGCACCGAGAGTGCACACTGCCCACTAGAGTTCCATGCCTACATCACAGAGAGATAGAATAGTCTCAAAGGATTCTTAAGAGTAACGTGGAGACCAAAAGGAGCTGAATCCACAGCCTCTGTCTTACCGTCTGTTCTAATAGTATTTCCAGACTCTTTTGTGGGCTGCACCAGGGGTTATTCAGAAAGAAAAAAAGTTGTTAATGTCCCACCATTCCCCGTAGCTTCCGAGGTCTAAGTTGTTCATTTCCCACGTTCCAGGTTGTTGTTCTCCCTCTATCTCCACAGAATCAGTGTGTCTCATTCCGATATCTATAATCTCACCTTTATTCTAGTCGCCCTTTACTTTTTTCTAGACATTTTGTGTAGTAGAGCCAGGTAAAACAGATACAAGAATATTTACATAAAACTTAACCAGAACTAAGTTGGAGTCCCATAACTGCTGCTAGGCTGGGATGCAACTCAGAGGATACAAAAGCCAGGCTGGTCTAGAATTGCAGGTATGGGAAAGAAAGACATTTCACCCAGGAATTATTAGCACGAAATTCCAAATTTGTGAAATAGATTCCTAGATCCCCCAAACATTTCATCCTTATCTTGGAGGCAATCTGGAAGAGATAATCCCCTTTCAGAGAAAAGCATACCTAATCAACGAATTATCTAACCAACATGTGTGGAAAAGGAGGGAACATCGTAGAGTTGGCCCATTTTAGTCGATGTGGTGAAAAATGCCACGAAGTCAGAGCTCAATTGGCCTCAAAAGCCTAAAAGGTGGCACAGATTAGCTTCAAGGGACACATGGTATGGCTGGAGTCAGATGACTGTTATGCTGAAGAAGTCAACAGTGGTTACTGATATCTCAAGAAGTGGGCTAAAAGTCCACTTCTGGTTACTCTGCTAGGTATGGTCTAGGAATTC